>NT_187579.1:0-181496 GCF_000001405.40 Homo sapiens | reverse complement strand
GGACGGGACACGAATGGAATATAATGGATGGAATAGACACGAATGAATTAGAATGGAATGGACTCGAATGGAATGGAATGCAATGGAATGGACTCGAATGGATTGGAATGGAATGGAATGGAATGGACTCGAAAGGAATGGGATGGAATAAACTCTAATGGAATGGAATGGAATGAACTCGAATGTAATGGAATGGAATTGACTTGAATGGAATTGACTCGAGTGGAATGGAATGGACTTGAATGGAATGGAATGGAATACAAATGAATGAAAAGGGTTGGAATTATCACGACTGGAATGCAATAGAATGGAAAGAAATGGACTCAAATGGAATGGAAAGCAATGGAATGGACTCAAATGGAATGGAATGCAAAGGACTGAAATGGTAAATAATGGAATGGAATGGAGTCGAATGGAAATGAATGGAATGGACTCGAATGGAATGGACTCGAAAGGAATCTAACTGAATGGAATGGAATGGAATGGAATGGAATGGACTCGCATGGAATGCAGTTGAATTGATTCGAAAGGAATGGAATGGAATGGAATGCAATGAAATGAAATGGACTCGAATGGAATGGAATAGAACGGAATGGATACGAATGAAATGGAATGGACTCGAATGGAATGGAATGGACTCCACTTGAGTGGAATGGCATGGAATGGAAAGGAATGCAATGGACTTGAATATAATGGAATGGAATGGAAATGACGAGAGTGGAATGGAATGGAATGGACTCCAATGGAATGGACTGGACACGAATGGAATATTATGGATGGAATGGACACTAATGAAATAGAATGAAATGGACTCGAATGGAATGGAATGCAATGGAATGGACTCGAATGGAATGGAATTGATTTGAATGGACTCGAAAGGAATGGGATGGAATAAACTCTAATGGAATGGAATGGAATGGAATGAACTCGAATGTAATGGAATGGAATTGACTCGAATGGAATTGACTCGAGTGGAATGGAATGGACTTGAATGGAATGGAATGGAATAGACTCGAATGGAATGGGATGGAATTATCACGACTGGAATGGAATGCAATGGAAAGAAATGGACTCAAAAGGAATGGAAAGCAATGGAATGGACTCAAATGGAATGGAATGCAAAGGACTGAAATGGTAAAGAATGAAATGGAATGGAGTCGAATGGAAAGGAATGGAATGGACTCGAATGGAATGGACTCGAATGGAATAGACCCGAAAAGAATGTAATTGAATGGAATGGAATGGAATCGCATGGAACGCAGTTGAATTGAAATGATTCAAAAGGAATGCAATGGAATGGAATGGAATGCAATGAAATGGAATGGACTCGAATGGAATGGACTGGAATGGATTGGGATGGACTTGAATGGTATGGAGTGGAATGGAATCAACTCGTGTGGAATGGAGTGGAATGGAACATACTCGAATGAAATGGAATACAATTAAATGGCCTCAAATTAAATGGAATAGAATGGAATGGGATGGACTCAAATGGAATGGAAGGGACACAAATGGCATGGAATGAAATGGACCCGAATGGAATGGAATGGAATGGAATGAAATGGAATGGAATGGACATGAATGAAATGGAATGGAATGGAATGGAATGGAATGGAATGGGCTCAAATGCAATGGAATGGAATGGAATGGACTTGAATGGAATGGAATGGAATGGACTCGAAAGGAATGGAATGGAATGGAATTTACTCGAATGGAATAGAATGGAATTTAATGGATTGGACTCTAATGGAATGGAATCTCATGGAATGGAATGGAATGGACTCGAATGGAATAGAATGGAGTAGATTGGACTCGATTGGAATGGAATGCAATGGAATGGACTCGAATGGAATGGAATGGAATGGAATAGATTCGAATGGCATGTAATGGAATGGAAATGACTTGAGTGCAATGGAGTGGACTCGAACGGAATGGAATGCAATGGAATGGACTTGAATGGATTGGAATGCATTGGAATGGACTTGAAGGGAATTGAATGCAATGAAAAGGAACGGACTCGAATGGAATAGAATGGAATGGAATGTCCCGAAAGGAGGGGAAAGGAATGGAACTGACCCGAATGGAATGGAATCGAATGGAATGGAAAGGAATGGAATGGAATGGACTGGACTTGATTGGATTGAAAGAGAATGGAATTGAATGGAATGGACTCAAAAGGAATGGAATGGAATGGACTCAAATGGAATAGAATGGAAACGAATGGAATGGAATGGAATGGAAGAGTCTTGAATGGAATAGAATGGGATTTAATGGAATGGACTCTAGAGGAAGGGAATGGAATGGACCTGAATGGAATGCAGTGGAATGGACTCGAATGGAATAGAATGGAATGGAATGGAATGGAATGGAACAGACTCGAATAGAATGGAATGCAATGGAACAGAATGGAATGGACTGGACTCGAATGGAATTGAACAGAATGGAATGGGCTTGAATTTAATAGAATGCAATGGATTCGAATGGATTGGAAAGCAATGGAATGGACTCGAATGGATTGGAATGGATTTGAATGAACTCGAATGGGATGGGATGGAATAAACACTAATTTAATGTAATGGAATGGAATGGACTCGAATGGAATGGAATGGAATTCACTCGAAAGGAATTGACTCTAGTAGAATGGAATGGATTTGAATGGAATGGAATGGAATGGACTTGAATGGCATGGAATGGAAAAAACCAGAATGGAATGGAATGGAATGGAAAGAAAGGGACTTGAATGGAATGGAAAGGAATGGAAAGGACCCGAATGGAGTGGAATGGAATGGAATGGACCCAAATGGAATGGAATTGAATGGACCCAAATGGAATGGAATCGAAAGGAATGGCAAGGCATGGAATTGGATGGAATGGAAAGGAGTGGAATGGAATGGAATGGTATGGAATGGAATGAACTCTAATGGAATAGAATGGAATGGAAACTAATGGAATAGAATGGAATGGAATGGAATGGAATCAAAATTAATGGAATGGAATCAAAATTAATGGAATGGAATGGACTCTAATGGAATGGAATGCACACGAATGGAATGGAATGGAATGAAATGGACCCGAATGGAATGGAATGGAATGGAACGGAATGGAATGGAATGCAGTTGAATTTAACGGACCCAAAAGGAATGGAATGGAATGGAAATGAATGGAATGCACTCGAATGGAGTGGAATGGAACAGAATGGACTTGAATGAAATGGAATGGACTCGAATCAAAAGGAATGGAATGGAATGGAATGGATTTGAATGGAATAGAATGGAATGGACTCGAATGGAATGGAATGTACTCGAATGGAATGGAGTGGATTGGAATTGACTCGAGTGGAATTGAGTGAAAAGGAATGGACTCGAATGAAATGGAATGCAATGAAATGGACTCGAATGGAATGCAAAGGAATGGAGGGGACTCTAATCGAATGGAAGGGACAAGAATGGCACAGAATCGATTGGACCCGAATGTAATGTAATGTAATGTAATGTAATGTAATGTAATGTAATGTAATGGACACGAATGGAATGAAATGGAATGGAATGGAATGGAATGAAATGGAATGGACTCGAATGGAATGAAATGGAATGGAATGAAATGGAATGGACTCGAATGGAATGGAATGGAATGGATTCGAAAGTAATGGAATAGAATGGAATCGAATAAAATGGAATGGAATGGACTCGAATGGAATAGAATGGAATTGATTGGACTGGACTCTAATGGAATGGACTGTCATGGAATGGAATGGAATGGAATGGAATGAAATGGACTGGAATGGAATGGAATGAATGGAATGGAATGGAATGGACTGGCCAACATTGTGAAAACTCGTCTCTACAAAAATACAAAAATTAACTGGGCATGATGGCGGATGTCTGTAATCCCAGCTACTCGGGAGGCTGAGGTGGAAGAATTGCTTGAATCCAGGAGGCAGAGGTTGCAGTGTGCCAAGGTCATGCCATTGCATTCCAGCCCGGGCCACAGAGCAAGACTCCATCTCAAAAAAAAAAAAAAAAAAAAAAGAAAAGAAAAAAGAAAGATTCACTTTGAAATGCTGCATGCAACTATATGGCCACACATTGGAAAATCTAGAGAAAATGGGTAATTTTCTGGAAAAATATAAATGACCAAAACTAATCCAAGAAGAAATTTAAAATGTTAATAGACCAGTTACAAAGAAAGAATGTAAAGTGATTTTTTAAATCCATAATTTAAAAAAGTACTAGGGTTGCAAGAAGGATAATTCCAATGTTATTTAAAGTATCCCAAATATTTTTAAAAAAGAAAAACCAATTCATTTCACATAGGCAGTGCAGCATTAATATGAAAACCTGATAAACATAAGACAAAACTATAGGCCAGATGCCATGGCTTACACCTGTAATCCCAGCACTTCGGGAAGCCAAGGCACGTGGATCACTTAAGGTCAGGAGTTCAAGACCAGCCTGGACAATATGGCGAAACCCCGTCTCTACTAAAAATACAAAAATTAGCCCGGCTTGGTGGTGCATGTCTGTAATCCCAGCTTGAACCCAGGAGGCAGAGGTTGCAGTGAGCCAAGATCACGCCACTGCACTCCAGCCTGGGTGACAGAGCAAGTCTCCATCTCAAAACAAAAAAAAAAAAAACAAAAAAACCAAAACTATAGACCAATCTGACTTATACATATGAATGAATATTCTAAATAAAAACCCAGCACTTTTATCAATAATTGCAACAACAAAAAAGAGTAATACAGTATGCAAAGAGCATTGTATTTCAGGAATTCACGGGTATTTCAATATCAGTTAAGTATATTAACACAATTACATAATTGACATCAAAGAAGAGGAAAATGTGATTATATCAGTAGATGCTGAGAGGGCTATTGTTAAGATTAAACATCCACTCCTAATGAAGATTCTTGAGTAAAATAGAAATTGAAGGAAAGTGTCTAAACATAACCGCTATTTATGAAATGCCTACAAAACAAGTATTTTAAATCATAAAGGAACATTTCAAATAAAACAAGGAACCAGCAGGAATAGCTGCTGTCAGTATTTGTTATTAAAGATTATCTTGGAGGATCCATGAATGTAACAAGATTTTTAAATGAAATAATCAGTATAAATATATAGAAAGCTTTTTGTGGATATGATTATATGCCTAGGAAATCATAGAGATTAGGAAAAACAGAACTTTCAAATATTTTAAAGAGGAATATTGGTAAGGCATTTGGAAATAAGATCATAATACAAAATATATTAGCAATAAGCACCTTGAAATGCTAATGGTAAAAATATTCACAATAACAAAAATAATAAAGGTAAAATAAATTTACCAAGAAAGAAGATCTATAAGAAAAAAACTATAAAAATGTTACCAAAAGCTGTTGAATAAGAAACACATGGCCGGGCACGGTGGCTCACGCCTGTAATCCCAGCACTGTGGGAGGCCGAGACGGGCGGATCACGAGGTCAGGAGATCGAGACTATCCTGGCTAACACGGTGAAACCCCGTCTCTACTAAAAATACAAAAATTAGCCGGGCATGGTGGCGCGCGCCTGTAGTCCCAGCTACACGGGAGGCTGAGGCAGGAGAATGGCGTGAACCCGGGAGGCGGAGCTTGCAGTGAGTCGAGATCGCGCCACTGCACTCCAGCCTGGGCGACAGAGCGAAACTCCGTCTCAAAAAAAAAAAAAAAAAAAAAAAAGAAACACATGAGGCTAGGCGCAGTGGCTCATACCTGTAATCCCAGCACTTTGGGAGGCTGAGGCAGGAGGACTGCTTGAGCCCAGGAGTTCAAGACCAGCTTTGGCAAATTGTGAAACCCTATCTCTAAACAAAACAAAACAAAACAAAAAACTATTTGGGCTTGGCGCATGCTTATAGAACCAGGTACTTGGGAGGCTGAGGTGGGAGGTTGGGGCTTCAGTGAGCTGAGATCCCACAACTGCACTCCTGCCTGGTTGACACAGTGAGACCCTGTCTCAAAAAAACAAACAACAAAACTCTTGTAAAAGCATAAATCTCCTAAAATTATATATAAATTCAATTAAATTAACATTAGAATCACAAAAGCATTTTAAAATTGGATTAAATTATCTTAAAGTTCATGTAGAAGAATAGTCAGAAAATTGTACCAAAAAAAAGACTATTGAGAGGAACTTTTCTCACCAGATATCAGCACCTACTATAGAACTATTGGAATTGATCAATTAAGAAAAACAATTGTATTAATTAAGAATAAGCAAGAGTGGTAAAAAATTGAGAATCTACATGTAGATGAAAAATTAATATATGAAAATAAACAATTCAAAGAAAACAAAATTGGACCCTCAATTTACACTGAAGGCTTTGAAGTGATACATAAAATGATTTTTAAAATGATTTAAATACGTACGTAAATGGAGAGAGGAAGGGTGGGAGAGAAGCGGGAGAGAGAGAAAATAGAAGACTAAAGACAGGAACACCTATGTGGAAAAAGATAACACTTAATGACGAAATATGTTGTATGTGAATATCAGTTATACATAATAAATATTGGGGACATTGCGCTGTGGGTTACAGTAAAGCATTAAGAAACAGAGTAAGTGAATAAAAAAAGGAAAGAAAACTACCAAATTCCATGTGTGATACCCCGTTTTGAAATTACATAAATTAAACGTGTACACATAAGAAAATTTTAAACATTAAAATTTTGTTAACAAAATGGATTTGATGACACGAAGGCCATTGATGACCTTACCCACAGCAGCTTTGTTTAAATGGGGATTAAGGATGGAGCAAAATTTTTATTAGAACACTTTGAATAATGAATTAGCAAACTACAATAAACTGAAATCTTACCTACCAAATAATCTCAGTAAAGTAAACAAATCTAAAAGAAATGAATAAAACAATTATGAGCAAAAAAGGATAGAGTCACTGCATATAATGTAAATGAGACAAGGATGGCCTCTGTGTATTGGCGCCTAGGTTATTTCTTCACAGCAAGCTGAAACCCATTAGCTCAAAAACCAACTGGCACCAAACTCAAATTTTTAAACATCCAATTGTGTTAAACATAGCCCAGACATGCATATTTGTAGGCATTTAGAGCCTGCCTGATTTACATGCCCTGGGAAACTACATCCAAAATCTGCTTGCCACAGATAAACTCTAGGCTGTAAAGACCCCAAACTGCTTCTGCTCTTTGGAACTCTGTGAACTACAGACTCCATGCCATGCTGCTGAGTGATATCACTGAGACATGAAAGCCTCCTCTCTGATCCTTTCCTCCCTCAGGAGTTCCTTTGCCCTCCTCCCTTTCTGAGTGGTGGCCCCCTTGTCTCAATCCTCTGGTCCATCTCTTGCTGTGAAGGCCTTCCCCAGGATACAAACCTGACAAGAGATCATCCAGATAAAGCCCATGTGTGCTTCTTTCACATCTTTTTCTATATTTTTCTATTTTTTTTCTAAACTTTTCTAATTTTTTCTTAATTTTTATAAAATTGTGGATACCTAATAATGTAGTCTCAAAATAAATAAAGCCAAAATTAGAATTGGAAAGAGCAATAAAAAAATCTACACAGTGAGATATTTTAACATTTCATTTTTAGTAATTGAATAAATAAACATAAAATTAGTAAGGCTAATCAACAGTTAAAGAATTTTGATTCTTTTCAAGCACACTTGGAGTATTTACAAAAATTGACCAGATATTAGGCCTAAAGATAGTATCAAATGTTTACATTGGTATAACAAATGTGTAATAGCACTATTAGAAATCAATAACAAAAACTTATCCAAAAGTAATCCATGAATTTTAGAAACTACAAATAGCTTCCAAATGATTCATGGAAGCAAGAAGAAATTATAATAAAAATTAGAACATGCTTAAAATTGAATTAAAATGAAAAGATTACCGATCAATATATATGTAAAATAACTGAAGCAGTACTTACAGTGAAATTTACCAGAAGCAATTCACATTCATGGGAAGGACAACAGCATGCATTTAGAGACTTGTCCAAGATGTATATTAGTTCTTTGACTCTCTGTCCTAATGTAGTCCAGAGACCTGAGCTGTCTGGACATTCTGTAGCATGTTACATTTTTCCATTTTATTTACCAGTTAAAATAGACTGGGTAAGAAATAACATGTTGGATGGCCTAGAGAGACACAAGCATCCCTGAGAGAGAAAATCATCTGAAGATTTAAGGACCTGTGACATCAGTCACAGAAGATTTTAGGGGGCCCATTGTTCCCCCCCCATACTAAGGAATACTGTTCTGACACATTTGCTGAGTGACACAGAAGGCTTCCACTTTTGACAAAAGCTTACGGCAGAAAAGGCCTCTGCAGCAGGTCCAGGATCCAGGGCAAGCAGCCCTACTGTTTGAGCCATACAATCTAGTAGGCTCTATGGTATTAGAAATATATGCAGTTGGAAAAAGCACCACGTAGAGTTTATAGCAAACCCTAATAGATGATTCACACATAGTCTTGTGGGGTTCACTAGCATGGTCATGCTATCTGCAAATAATTGTATATTGTATAAATATATAGCATAATTGTGTACTTTAATAGCTCCTAGCATGCTACTGCACCTAGGTAGAGATGGACTATCTGACAACAAATATTAAGTGACCATGTAGCTAAAAGTTCCCACTGTGAGTTTGGTTTTGTTAGATCTACCAGATCATAAGGACAGGCTGGCCCAGCAACAAATCATAATAAAATAGAAGTAGCACATTGAATTAGTCCATTTTCACATTGCTATAAAGAACTACCCAAGACTGGGTAATTAATAAACAAAAGAGGTTTATTGACTCACAGTTCCGTATGGCTGGAGAGGTCTCAGGAAACTTACACTTATGACTAAAGGCAAAGGTGAAGCAGGCACCTTCTTCACAAGGCAGCAGGAGAGACAGAGAGCAAGGGGGGATGTGCCAAACACTTTTAAACCATCCGCTCTCATGAGAACTCACTCAATATCATGAGAACAGCATGAGGGAAACTGCCCCCATGATCCAGTCACCTCCCACCAGGTCCCTCTCTCTACATGTGGGGATTATAATTTGAGATGAGATTTTGTGGGGACACAGAGCCAAACCATATCACATCAAGGATTGGGCATGAGAAAGACTAGAGGACACAAGTAAGCAGTATGATAAGGTGATCCAGGTCCCCACATTATCCAAATTGTGACACTAGATTCTCTCCCTCAGCTGGCAACTCTGCCTATGTGGGAGTTCCAATATTGATAAAGGAGGAAAAAAGCTAAGCTTGTTCATTGGAAGATCAACTCAGCATGCGGATGTAAGTAAAAAATGATAGCAGCCTACTTCAGCTATGGAAAGATAGCAGTAGATTAAATCCTCCCAAGGACGGTTCAGCATATACGAATCAATAAATGTGATATACACATTAACAGAATGAAGGACGACAACTATATGAATATCTCCATGGATGCAGAGAAAGCATTTGACAAAATTCAACATCTTTCTGTAATAAAAACTTTCAACAAATTAGGTATCAATGTCCACATAACACAATAAAGGCATATGTGATAGGCCCACAGCTAACATCATACTCAATGGTAAAAAGTTGAAAGCTTTTTCTCTAAGATCAGAAACAAGATGGATGCCCATTTTCACCACTTCTATTCAAGTTCTAGCAATTAGTCAAGAAGAAGAAATAAAGGCATTAAAGTCAGAAAGGAAGAAGTGAAATTGTCTCTGCAGACACCATGATCTTAAATGTAGAAAACCCTAAAGAGTCCACCAAAAAAAAACTGTTGGAACTAGTAAATTAATTCAGTAAAGTTGCAGGATGCAAAATCAACATAAAAAAACGACTAGCATCTGTATACACTAACAATGAACTATCTGAAAAAGAAATCAAGAAAACAATTTCATTTATAATGGCTACACAAATACTTAGGAATTAATTTAACCAAGGAGGTGAAAGACCTGTACACTGAAAACTATAAAACATTGGTGAAAGAAATTGAAGAAGACACAAATAAATGGAAACATATCCCATCTTCATGGATTAGAAGAATTCATACTGTTAAAATGTTCTTAGTACCAAAAGTGATCTACAGATTCAATGTAATCTCTATCAAAATTCCAATGATATTTTTTACATAAACAGAAAAAAATCCCCAAATTCATGTGAAACCACAAAAAACCCCAAATAGCAAATTGTGAGCCAAAAGAACAAAGTAGGAGGCATCACATTATCCAGTTTCAAAATATACTATGATGATATAGTAATCAAAAATATAACATGATACTGGCATACAAACAGACTGGTAGACCAATGGAATAGAATAGAGAGCCTCAAAATACATTCACGTTTATGGCCAATTGATTTTCAGTAAATATGCCAAGAATACACAATGGGGAAAGGACAATCTTCAATAAATGGTGTTGGGAGAACTCCACATGCAGAGAAATGAAATTAGACCCTTATCTCACACCATATACAAAAAAATAACACAAATGGACTAAAGACTTAAATATAAAACCTGAAACCATAAAACTACTAGAAGAGAACATACAGGAAAAGCTCCATGAGACTGGTCTGGGCAATGATTTTCTGGATATGACCCCCAAAGCACAGGCAACAAAAGCAAAAATAGACAAAAGGGATTATATCAAACTAATAAGCTGTGCAAGCAAAGGGAGCAATCAATAGAGTAAAGAGATAGCCTACAAAAAGGGAGAAAATATTTGCAAACCATACATCTGATAAAGGATTAATATCCAGAATATATAAAGTATTCATACAACTCAACAGCATGAAAACATATAACCTGATTAATGAAAGGGAGGCAAAGTACCTGAATAAACATTTTTCCAAAGAAGACATACAAATGGCCAACAGGAATATGAAAAAATAACCAACATCACCAGTCATCATGGAAACGCACATCAAAACCACAATGAGACGTCCCTTTTAGAATGGCTACTATGAAAAAAACAAAAGATAGCATGTGTTGGCGAGGATGTGGAGAAAAGGGAGCCTTTGTATACTGTTGGTGGGAATGTAAATTAGTACAGCCATTATGAAAAGTAATATAGAGGTTTCTCAGAAAGTTAAAAATAAAACTACCATATGATCCAGCAATCCTAGTACTATTTATATACCCAAAGAAAATGATTCAGTATGTCAAAGAAAAATCTGTACCTCATGTTCATTGCAACATTATTCACAATAGACAAGATATGAAATCAACCTAAGTATCCTTTAACAGATGAATGATTAAAGAAAATGTGGTGTATATATACATAATGAAATATTGTTCAGCCTTAAAGAAGGAAATCCTGTCCTTTATAATAACATGGATGAAACTGGAGGACATTATATTAAGTGAAATAAGCCAGGCAGAGAGAGATAAATGCCATGTAATCTCACTTATATGTGGAATCTAAAAAAGTCAAACACATAGAAGCAGAAAATAGAATAATGGTTATTAGGGGCGGGGGGAGGAGGGTAGAACTGGGGAGATTTTGGTCAAAGGATACAAAAATTAAGCAGGAAGAACAAGTTCAAGAGACCTATTGTACAACATGGTGACTACAGTTAATAACAATGTATTGCATACTTGAAAATTGCTAGGACAGTAGATTTTAAGTGTTCTCACCACAAAAGAAATGATAAGTATGTGAGGTAACACATGTATTAATTAGCTTGAGTTAGCCATTTCACACTGTATCCATATTTCAAAACATCAGGTTGTACACTCCAAATATATACAATTTTTGTTTGTATATTTAAAAAGTTTTAATATTTAAAAATTCAACTCAAAAATAAATTCTTGGCCAGGCACAGTGGCTCACACCTGTAATCTCAGCACTTTGGGAGGCCAAGGCAGTGGATCATGAGGTCAGGAGATCGAGACCATTCTGGCTAACATGGTGAAACCCCGTCTCTACTAAAAAAATACAAAAAAAATTAGCCGGGCGTGGTGGCGGGCACCTGTAGTCCCAGCTACTCGGGAGGCTGAGGCAGGAGAATGGCATGAACCCAGGAGGCAGAGCTTATAGTGAGCCGAGATCACGCCACTGTACTCCAGCCTGGTGACAGAGCAAGACTCTGTCTCAAAAAATAAAAAAATTAAAAAATTTCAGTTGGCAGAACTTTGCACTACGCACCTTGTCATTCACTTTGCATGGAAAGAGAAGAGACTCATAGTAAGAATGTACTGACTCATGGTCAAATGGCTTGGCTACAGGTCAGGGGGATGGAAGGAGAAAATTTGGATGACTGGAGAAAAAGACATCTGAGAAAAGGGCATATGGGTGGACTTATGGGGATGTACAAAAAGTATGAAGATCTTTGTTTCACATGTTAACACCTACAAGAGGTATCTATCAACAACCAAGGAGAAAAGCGACTCAGCCAGATGATGTTAGCCATCCTCTTCCATTGGCCAGCTCAGTACTGGTGAATAAATATAGTGACAAGGATGGAGGCTATGCAGAGGCCCAAACAGCAGAAGTCTCCACTGTCTAAGTCTTATCTAGCTACTGCTGCTTCTGAATGTCAAAGTTGTCATCAAGACAGAGCAACACTGAGGCCTCAAGATAGCATCATCCCTCAAGGACACCAAGTTGCCACCTGGTGGCAAGCTGAATGCACTGGATTCTTTCCATCACAGGAAGGGTAATGATTCATCTTGGCTGGAACTGATACTTATTCTGAGTATGGATTTATCTTTCCTACTTACATGGCCTCAACCAGCACCACTATCCAAGGGTTGACAGAATGTTTAATCCTCCAGTATGGAATCCTACACATCCTTGCATTGTACTTTATAGCACTGTATAAAGGGAATGCACTTTGTAGCACTGTAGTTGCAGTGGTGGACACATGAAAATGCAATTCAGTGATCCTATTACAAATCACGAAATCACAACAACTAGAAGCTGTCAAACTGATGGAGTGATGGAACAGTCTCCAGTAGCCCTTTGAAGCTGCAGGGATGGGATACAAGCATATATCCTAGATCAGTAACCATTATATGGTCCCATGTCGCTAATAGAAAGAGGACCATGGATTGAAGAAAGAGTAGCACTATTTACCGTCACCCCCAGGGATTCACTTAGGAAATTTCTGCTTCTTATCTCTGCAATTCAATGCTGTTACACAACGGAAGCAGACAGGAATGTGTTTGGCAGCCAAGGGATGTTTAAGTAGTCCCTTACTAAATTTTGATTGCTCAATTTAAAAGGACAAGTCTAGTAGCCATGGCTACTACACCCTCCTCTCCTATCTCCAGGTAAGTGACCTAGACCAGTGGAGGTGCTAGCTGAGGGTAAGAATGTAAACCTGATAGTACCTGTATCGTAGGAAAGGCAGATGATCACTTTTATCACTGATAAAAGACAAGTTGAAGAGCCAAGGAGCTATTGTTCCCTCCATGAATGTTACTTTCACATTTCCCCAGCAAAAGAAACCAACCAAAATCCTGGAGGAGCTATTCCTAGATGGAGAGAAGTTATATGAAGTCATGGATCCAAATGACACGAGGGATGGACAGAGTAGTGTCTTCTGTGGTGTGTAGTCCAGGCCTCCCTGCAGAATGGAGACCCTCATTCCCCAGCTTCCTTAGAGTGCTGTCTGTTGAGGGCACATGACTAAGTTCATGCCCTAGGAATTGCCCTCAGGCCAAAAGGAACTGTGTAGTAGAAGTCACATCCTTGGGGCAAGAAATTAGTTTGAATTCATATTGATTGTTGTCAACAAAATTTTAAGTACTGTATGGTATGTGCGTGAAAGGAAAAGAACATTTGAAATGAGCTAATGTAGAGCGGATCTGTTGGAGAACTATTGGTGAATAATGATGATGTGGTCAGTGAGGGTCACTGAAGTTCACAGGGTTATTTGAACAGAAAACATCTGGGAGAGGTGGATTTGACACTCAGATTAGGGGACTGCACAAATAATAAGGTATCTGGGCTTCAGTTTTCTCATCTAGAACATGAGGGACTAAATGACTGCCAAGTATCTTCCAGCTTCTATATTCTGTAATGCTTAAGTACTCTGCAGAATATTAAAATGAACAGCACTGGGAGATAGTCCATGGGCTTGAAAAGTGAGGAAAAACAGAAACTGCCAGGGAGAGTTTGTTAAAACCTTAAAAACCTGTGCACGGCTGTTTATAACAGTTGTATTCATAACTGCCAAAACTTGGAAGCAACCAAGATATCCTTCAGTAGGTTAATGGCTATGCAAACTGTGGTACATCCAGACAAGGGAATATTATACAGCACTAAAAAGAAATCAGATATTAAGCTAAGAAAAGACATGGAGAAGACTTAAATGTATATTGCTAAGTAAAAGAAGCCAGCATAAGAAGGCTATATATTGTATGGTTCTAAGTGTATGACAATCTGGAAAAGGCAATACTATAATGTAGAAACATCAGTGGTTTTCAGCAATTTGCAGAAAGTAAGAGAGGGATACATAGGTGGAACACAGAGGATTTTTATGGTGATGAAACTATTCTATATGATACTGGTGGATATCTGTCATTATACAGTTGTCAAAATTCACAGAACTTTACAACACAAAGAGTGAACGCTAATGTAAACTATGGACTTCAGTTATAGTAATGTATCAATATGTATCAATTGTAACCAATATACCACATTAATACATGGTGTTAATAATAGGGGAAATTGTGTACAGAGGTAGGGATTGGGTGGAGAGTGGGATAGGAAGGTAGTGTTACATGGGAACTCTGTGTACTTTCTGCTCATTGGTTTCTGTAAACCTAAAATTGCTCTAAAAAACAAAGTCTACTAATTTTGAGAAATTTGATGAAGAATAAATATTCATGTAGTACCAAGGTATAATCTCAGACATCACTGGCTAATTAAAGAGGAAAATATACCATTAACGATATAGACATCTGGCAATCACCACCTTAATTTAGGAATGAAAATTAACATCACTGGCAGTGGGACAACCAGACATAAACTTCGTAATGTGCCACTATTGGAAGTATACAACATCACCTTTGAATGATTCTGGCCAAAAAAGTTTAACCTGAATGTAACCAAGTCTTTAAATTTAACTTCAAATTTCAGAAAATTGAGGGGATAGACAAACAAACTAAATGAAACCATGAACAGTCCCACAATTCCAGAATGTGAGATATTCTACGTGACAACTAGCATGGTTCCTTTAAAATGTCAATACCGGCTGGGCACGGTGGCTCGCACCTGTAATCCCAGCACTTTGGGAGGCTGAGGAGGGTGGATCATGAGGTCAGGAGATCAAGACCATCCTGGCTAACATGGTGAAACCCTGTCTCTAGTAAAAATACAAAAAATTATCTGGCCGTGGTGGCAGGGGCCTGTAATCCCAGCTACTCAGGAGGGTGAGGCAAGAGTATCTCTTGAACCCAGGAGGCAGAGGTTGCAGTGAGCCAAGATCATTCCACTGCACTCCAGCCCGGTGACAAAGCAAGACTCCGTCTCAAAAAAAAAAAAGTCTATGCCATTTAGCAAGGGATTAAGTATGGAGAAATGTACTGGATTACAAAATAAGAGACAAAAACAAAATGTAGTGTCCAGTTCTCGATTGGATCATGGCTTTTAAAAATTGCTATAATTGGAAAACAATTAAGAAAATGTGAATCATAGGGTGTAATTATGCAAACCTAGATGGTATATATACGTATATTTTTGAGACAGAGTCTCACTGTGTCACCCAGGCTGGAGTGCTGGTGCGATCTCAGCTCACTGCAACCTCAGCCTCCCAGGTTCAAGCAATTCTCATGCCTCGGCCTCCTGAGTAGCTGGGATTACAGGCACCTGCCACTGCGCCCGGCTAATTATATTTTCAGTAGAGACGGGGTTTCACCATGTTGGCCAGGCTGGTCTCAAACTCCTGACCTCAGATGATCTGCCCACCTTGGCCTCCCAAAGCACTGGGATTACAGGCATGAACCACTACATCCGGCCCTATATATTTTCACTTATTTATTTTTTATAAGGAAAATCAAATGTTCCAGCACCACTACTGAGCATTAGTCATTTCCTCTACTTGAGCTGCAATGCCAATATCAAGGGCCATAAACTGTTTATCAAGTTTCTATATATGTTCCAGTTTAATCTTATGAGACCACCACAGTGTAGATGGTCGACTAGTTGACTGAAATGTGTTACATGGGGCATGACTGTTTATATTTGAAAATATTTGGGAGTTGAATAATTGTAAGGAATTACTGATAACTTGGTGTGAAAGGATAAGGGAATTGTGGTTATGCAAGAAAATGGCTTTAGTTTTTGAATATGCAGGCTCAAGTATACACAGGCAAATTAGCATGATGCCTATAATTTACTTTTAATTCAAATTGAAAAATTACATAAAGAAAACTTGACAAAATATTAACAATTAATTGGATTTAGGTGGTGGTTATGTGGGTGCCCATTTTTTCTACCTTTCTGTAGGCTCCAATGTTTCATAATTAAAAGGGAAATAACGGGGCCACAAGAGAAGGTACAATTAAACATTAATGGGTCCCTTCTCCCAAGCGGTTAGTGCCGAGAGTGTGGAGTGTGTTCTCCAGGATCAGCACATATTTATTATCTTGGAAAACCCATTCCCCTGAAAAAAACCCATGAAAAAACTTAAAAAAAAAAAGGTTTCTATTTTAACACCCATCACCCCTGCAAAACACTGTACAAAAAAATCCTTGTCTTCACTGCCAGAGACATTTTCCTTTTCTTCTTGTATAAGATTACCCGTGAGGCAGCCGAGAGCGACCCACCCGCCCACTCGCAGCTCCGAAGCAGCTTCAAGAAGGAACAGGATCCCGAGGCCTGGACGCTGGACCCTACACCGCCACCCTCGTCCCAGCCCGCTGCAGGCCGCAGTTCCTCGGCCGTGGAGTAGTTTTAGATTCCAGGTGATTTTGTCTCTCTGCCCTGGCCCAGGCTTCCGCCCCAGCCCTTACTCTCCTTTCACGGAAAGGTCGCAGCCTGTGGCCCTACCGGCAGACAGGTGAAGAGGTGAGCCCAGCGTCCCAGCCATCCCCTGTCCTCGCACCCCACGTGACCAGGCCTGCTGGCTGGTCCTCTCTATCCCGGGCTACAGGAACCAGATCACCGGCGCTCCTTGGGAAACGCAGGATGTGGAATGTCCTTAAGACCCCATGAATTTTGATGTTATAAAAGACTAGCCAATACACACTAAGTAGTCTCGGTGTGATCCATCACTCCGCAAAAATGGAGTGGGCAACATGTTCATAAAAAAATTGGACAAATCTATTGATTATAAAGCATTCCATGATACATCTGCTTTTGGTAACATCTTTTTGTTGCAGAAAAAACCAGGTTCTTGTCATACCACCAGGAAAAGGCACGCAAACACTTGAAGGGTGAGGGGGAACGGAGTTTATTGGATGGAAAGGAAAAAGGAAAAATAACTCTTAGCAAAGAGAGAAAGAGTCCTGCTAGCGGGTTTCCCGCCTCATAGATTAAATCCTAGGTCACTACATGGGAACAGGCCAGACTCCTCTCCACTGCACACTGCACAAACTTCCCGAGGCTCCACCCCGTAATCCCAGTGCGCAGGTGGGCATTATTCAGAATCAGTGAGGAAAGGGCGGCTTCAACCCGGACCTGCAGTCCAGTTTATCAGCCTTCAGGCTGTTTTAGTCTTGAAGGTGGGGTTTTACCAGGGGACCCTTGGCTGCCTCCTGTCTCCATCACTTTCACATTAGGTGCTTTGTGGTGAAAACGGTTTCAAGGGTGATGGCACTGTACATTTTGAGACACAGAAGCAGCTGAAAGATCTATTCAAAAATGAAATGGATGCTTCTAAATGATAGCAAAGTCTTTGTTGGATTAAGTCTTGTAAACAATGAGAAGCAGAACTCAGAGTTAAAGAGTTCACCAATGTTTACAGGAAGATTTTTGGAGAAGACATGGATGGTAGGTGCCTTAAAGATCTCTTTGGCAAGTTGGGATCTGTCTTAAGTGTGATAGTAGTGGTTAATGAAAGTGGAAAACCCAAAGGTTTTGGATTTGTCAGCTTTGAAAGGCATAAAGATGCGCAGATGAGATGAACAGAAAGAAGCTCAATGGAAAACAAATTGATGTTGGTCAAGCTCAGAAAGAAGTAGAATGGCAGATGGAACTTGTGTGCAAATTTGAAAAGATCAAGCAGTATAGGATCACCAGATAACAAAGTGTTAACATTTATGCAAAAAATCATGATGGTATTGATGAATGTCTCTGGAAAGAACTTTCTCCACTTGGTACAATCACCAATGCAAAGGTTATGAAGGATGGTTGTCACAACAAAGGGTTTGATTTGTGTATGTTTCTCCTCTCCAGAGGAAGCAACTAAAGCACTTTCAGAAATGAATGGTAGAATTGTGGGCACTGAGCCATTGTATATAGTGTTAACTCCATGGGAAGAAAAGCAATGAAGAGCACCAGGCTCAGCTCATTAACCAGTACACTATGTGCAAAGAATGGCAAGTGTAAAAACTATGCTCAACCTGGGAATCAGTCCCTATCAGCCAGCACCTTCTTCAATTGACTTCATGGCAGTTATCCCACAGACTGAGAGCCATGCTGCAAAGTATTCTCCTAGCCAAACTGCTCAACTAAGATCAAATCCTCCCTAAATTGCTCAGGGTGCCAGACCTCATCCATTGAAAAATATGCCCAAGCCACTCCTAGCTCACTACATTTAGTAGTAAGAGACCAGCTTCTTCACAGCTTCCACGAGTCATGTCAACACAGCTGTTGTAACACATCGACACAGACAATAGGAGCACATCCTGCAGTTGCCGCTACTGCTACTACAGATACTCCTGCTGTTTGTACCATTTCACAGTATAAATATGCTATGGAAGCTCACAATCCTCAATGATATTTTCATGCACAGCCCCAGGTTACCATGCAGCAGCCTGCTGTTCATGTAGAAGGTCAAGAACCTTTGACTTCCATGATGGCATCTGCTCCTCCTCAAAAGCAAAAGGAAACGAGTGAATGGCTGTTTCCTCTTCTTCAAGCCATGCCCTAGTCGTGCTGGTAAAATCATTGGCATGTTGTTGGAGATTGGTAATTTAGAACTCCTTCATATGCTTGAATCTCCAGAGCCTCTCTATACTAAGGTTGACAAAGGTATAGCTGTACTACAAGAGCACCAAGCTAAAGAGGCTGCCCAGAAAGCAGTTAATGGTGCCACTGGTGTTCCAATTGTTTAAAACTGATCAGGGACCACAGAAAGAAACTTGAGCATCACTGAAGAAAAATATCTCAATATCAAAAACCTTAAATACTATGGAAAAAATTTGTAAACTATAAAATAAATTTAAAAAGGAAACTTTGAACTTTACATACCAAGAAAATGTCAGATCTAACAAATGCAATGATAGTCCTAGATTACTTATTGATTTGAAAAGAAAAAATCCTCCCAAAATAATAAAATATAAAAACACTGTAATGCTTTTCAGACTCTGTGATAAATAATTTTCAGCAAAGTATAAAAATTTAAAGCATTCCTTTAATTTTGTAATTCATTAGTGTGGAATAGCTAATAATGTCACTTCTGTTTTAAGTAACAGAATTGATAACTGAGCAAGGAAAGGTAATTTGGATTATAAAATTTTGCTTTAATAAAAATTCCTTAAACAGTGAAAAAAATAGGCAAAGATACAAAAAAAGTTTATAAGAAACAACAATCTTGTATTTATTTTATTTTATTTTATTTTATTTTATTTTATTTTATTTTATTTTATTTTATTTTATTTTTTTAAGATGGAGTCTCGCTCTGTCACCCAGGCTGGAGTGCAGTGGCATGATCTTGGCTCACTGCAACCTCTGCCTCCCAGGTTCAAGTGATTCTCCTGCCTCAGCCTCCCGAGTAGCCGGGACTACAGGCACCTGCCACCATGTCTGGCTAGTTTTTTGTATTTTTAGTAGAGACAGGGTTTCACCATGTTAGCCAGGATGGTCTCCTTCTCCTGACCTCCTGATCCACCCGCCTTGGCCTCCCAAAGTGCTGGGATGGTGTGAGCCACTGTGCCCAGCCTTATTTGTTTAAATACTATAAACACTAATATCATACACATGGTTAACTGGTTGTAATTTTTAAATTATATTAATAAATTTTTATAAAAACATTTTATAAATAAAAAACTTAAAATTTCAAATAAATAACAACATCTGCCACACTACCTTAAAACGGCGACTATTTCAGTATAATAAACATATATCACAGACACTTAGAGAAAGTTCTATAAATAAAGAATAAAAAGAATAGGTAGAACAATTTTCCTCCTAATCAAAAACACAATTCCTCATTTTGAAAATCATTTCTTATCTCTCTTTTATTAAAATAAACTTTCTACTTTGAAATCTAATCCTCTTGTGAATGTAAATTACTATCTTGTAAATATATATATTTTATTATTATTTTCTTTTGAGACAGAGTCTTGCTCTGTCTCCCAGGCTGGAGTGCAGTGGTGCGATCTCAGCTCACTGCAACCTCTGCCTCCTGGGTTCAAGCGATTCTCCTGCCTCAGCCTTCTGAGTAGCTGGGATTACAGGTGCGTGCCACCACACCTGACAAATTTTTGTATTTTTAGTAGAGACGGGGTTTCACTATGTTAGTCAGGTTGGTCTCGAACTCCTGACCTCGTGTTCTGCCCGCATTGGCCTCCCAAAGTGCTGGGATTACAGGCATGAGCCACAACAGCCTGCCTATATTTTTATTTTTTTATAAGTGACAATGAGATATCCTCATGATTTAAATAGTAGTCAAAACACTGGCACAGTTTAAATTTTTAGAATTTGAGTACTAGAATTACAATATTTGAAAATGGAGTCTGTACTTTGTTGTAAAACTATAAAGAGAAAATATCACTAAAACAGTAGCTATTTTATCTTTTCCCAGAGTTATTCTCCCAGAGTGTATTTTCTAAGAGTTATTTCCCAGATGGTTTTAGAACTTTTGGCAGTTTCGGTGATATATTCTATAAAAGCCCTTAGTCTTAATAGGAATAACACATAGTTTTGATTGCCTTAAATTTTAATTGCTTCACTTGGCAAATTTGTGTGTGAATTTCATATTCTGTGGCATTTTAATATCTTGCTTGTGGAGAAGAGGAAAAAGAGGAATGAAAGTAATATTCAGTCCTTGCATTGAGCTTTTGCCAAAGAAGTCTAAACAATTTCTAAAATGCCTTTCAATAAGGCCATTTTAGAAGTGCTTATATAACTCTTATAACTTTAAAATAAAGAGTCTTGAAGTTAATTAAAACTCACTTTGCTTGTGATGGGTTCTACATTAACATGGCAGATTTAATCAGCCAGAATTAAAAGATAATTCTATATTACTAAGGAGAAGAAACTGCCACATGACAGTAGTCTCCAAATCTTTCATTTTTGGAGGCTGCCTTTTATGCCTAGATTTTAAAACACTAATTGAAAAAAATATAGTTTACTTCCATTTGTGATTTAATTTTATTTCTATAAATAAATATATAGATAGTGTTTCATCTAAAAACTGCTAAACCAGACTTTCATTTTAAGGGCATGGCAGAAATAAGGAAAGACTAACTTGGTTCTATTACTTAACATATTATTTATTCAGGTAGTCACCAAAACCAGAATTTAAAATCTATTCAGTTAACCCATTTAAAGTTGATGTGTTTTACTCCTTTTTTTTTTGTAGTGATCTTTTTAACGGAATTACTGGATATCATGGGGAGTTCTACTCCTCCTATTTGGAAACTTAGGCTATCTTACCAAGTTCAATATTCAAAGTTTTTCTTTCTGCCATTAAGTTTGTTTAATTTTATATTAAGCTCAGTTTGTATTATGATATCAAATTCAGCCTGAGGGATTACTTAAACTTTCCTAGGGTATTTACAGATTTAATTTGTTCTTACAGTATGTAAATACCAAGAGAGCATTCCATTTAATATTATTTTTATTAAATTAACTTTGGAGTAAAAAGTCCAAGAAAAGCCCTGTACTGAAATCACATGTTTACTAAATCCTGGATTTTCTGTGCAGTTCCTACATATTTCTACTTTAAAATTCTTCAGTCATGTGAAATAATTCATTAAAAGAAGCAGGCAGATGATGACAGGTAAACTTTTTAATGATGTTCTAATGTTGACAATTGCAGTTTTATTTTGCTTGGATCATAATGGTGTGTAAGCATTTTAGGCCCCAGAATGCCCATAAGTAGAGCTCCATTTGGAGCTGTGATCGAGATGGCTAAAAATGCTACTGTCATCACATCCTTCGCATATGGTTCCAAGTGGGGTGCGGAGACTCTTGCTGTTTCTAGAGCCAGAGGACCTAGCACAGCCTACATTTAGGGATAAAAATGGGGCATAAAGAAAAATATTACTGAGTTAATATATAATGTAAATGGCCCTGTTAAAATAAACAAAATCTAGTACTAGACTATTAGAAAAAAAAAAGTACTCAGTAATTATCATAAGTTACTCATCAGTTCCATGTTCTTCCTAGCAAATATATGTGGAGGAAGAGTACAATAGTGACAAATCAGCATGCAAACATTTTTGGGCTGATTTTGCACTCTTGTCCTCTCAGTGTTCCTCTATTCAAATATCTCTTTTGAGTGTTGCCCTCATAACACCAGGAGTTCTAACAAAACCAGTTTTGCTTAGTTGCCTTTATCGTGTACCAGTAGTTTTTGACTACAAGAAGACCAAATAAAATATTAAGTTTTCTTATGGTTCTCTAGGATGTGTTGCCCTTCTTCTCATTGTTCTCCTTATTCAGGGGGCACTGGGTTATAGCAGAACTGACAGCAGGTTTGGAATCTAGCAAACTGGGTTTGAATTCTATTTTTGCTGCAACCAGGCTAGTGACCTTGTACAAATGACTCACACTCTCTAAACTTCTACTTACTTACGTGTAAAACGAAGAACAAAATACTTATCTTACTGGACGGTTGTGAAAATTAAATATGAGAATGTGAAGAATACCTGGCACACAGTAGGTATTCAGATAGTAGTAAGTTTCTTTCTCCTTCACTCCTCATCCCCTGCCAGGTCAGAGAATGAGTTCCTTTGAAGTTTTTTTTTAGAATGACTACTGGGTCACAAGATTTTTCCCTAGTTACCTTCTACCATATTATTTTTAATAACATAAAGCAAATTTCTTGTAACTATCTTTCCTTGTGTTTAATAACTAGGCCTGAAATTGCCTTAAAATTTGGGGGAATTAAATACCAACATATAACATATTTTCTATGGAGTTGTGAAGTAACAACATAATAGTAGAAACATTACCTCTGATATGGAACATTATGGCAAGAGAACCCCTCAATTTAAGATCAATTTCTATATCCTAAATCAATAATTTAAAATGGTATTATTTTTATATCATAACTTTTAATGTACTGAACATGATCCAGTGTGCTGGAGGATGCTAGGGAGAAAAAAAATAATCATGCAGAAAACCACGTTGAAAGAATCTCACAGTTTAGAAGAGGATTTGAACATAAAAGAACTGCCAACAGAAAAAACAAAAACAAAAGCCAAACCCACTGACTTTTAAGAGATGATGACGATAATGGTGAAACTAGAAATAATATTTTTATAGTTATATGGCATTCATCATATGTCAGGTATCATTCTTAAAGCTTTCCATTTATCAATTCATTTAATTCTTATGACAACCTTATTATGTGAGGACTTTTATTAGATGATAAATGATTTCCTCCTAGTGACTGAGATTTAATACTATTTCTTTAAAAAAATCCAGTTGCCAAGCTGATCTTACATTTGTAAACTAAATTATTTATTTACTCTCCTAATAGCTTCTATTTTTCCTGTCTAACTTTTATCAGTAACTCGAAACTAAGGAACAAGAGAAAGCTGAACCTTAGCCAATTTTATTTTAGCAGCAGAGAATGGCGGAAGAGGATAAAGGTGAAAATAATTTAAAATTGAAATTTAAATATTTGTTGATCGTATTTACTTGTGACATTATTGTTATCTATTATTGCTGTTGTGACTCTACTTGTATAAATAATTAATTTTTTATGTCTTGCCAGTTCCTGGGACCAGCTTGATATTCTTTGTGTAGAAGCCAGCCTGGAGCCAGCCGACAGGAATAGGCAGAAGCAGAATAATACTGCAGGGCTCGAGTGAGTGGTCTCTTTCCTCATACCTGCTTTTCTTTTTTCCCTGCTTTATGAAAATTATGAAATAATGAAACAAAATTGCAAGAGTATTGTTGGAAGGAGAGAGAACAGATACTCCTTTTGTAGATTTATTATTCCCTACAGTAGACATTAAAAATAAAAAGTTATTATTTATATTACTTGAAGGTAAGATAAAATAACAACATTGTTTGTTAACTGAGCACCACCATATGCCAGAGAGAGTGCTAAGGCACTTTACGTGGATTATCTCCTTGAATCCTGACAATACTGCTAAGAAACAGATACAGTCATAGACTTCATTGCAAGACGAGAACACTGAAGGACTGAGAGACTAGAAAATAATTTTCCTGAGGTTATAGGCAAGTAACATGGTATTCAAAACAGGTAGTCTGGCCCTATGAGCCTGCTTTTCTAACATGATAATAGAGGTTTTTTGCATGAAAATTTAGGAGCTTCTGTTTTGGAATAACAACTAAGAAAAGAGCCACAGGAAATTAAGGTATATTATGCTGCCAAGTTAAACAGTCTAACAAGAAGTAGCAATATATTTTAGTAGGAGGAGAATCTCCTTGAATAACAGGGCAAAATTACAAGGTTTCCCTTTCCGTTCATTCATCCTTGCAGGCATGCAATACGTATTTGCCTCCTGCATGTCAGGCACTGTGTTAAGTGCCAGGGAGAAATAATGAAAAACAACTGCAACGACTAGACACTGTCCCTGTCCTTACGTAGTCTATCAAGGGGGCGGGGGCAGGGATTTAGCCATTAACCAAATAGTATACAAATAAATGTGTAATTAAAAAAATATATGCACATTTGTGTGATGGAGTGAGTGGCAAGGTAGGAAAAGTATTTTTTAAAAAATCAATGTGTCTCTATTTTACTTTACTTTTTTTTGCGACAGGGTCTCACTTTGTCACCCAAGCTGGAGTGAAGTGGCGTGACCTCAGCTCACTGCAGCCTCAACCTCCCGAGTTCAAGCTATTCTCCTGCCTCAGTCCCCAAGTAGCTGTGACTACAGGTGCGTGCCACCACACCTGACTAATTTTTTTGTATTTTTTTTGTAGAGACAGGGGTTTTACCATGTTGCCCAGGCTGGTCTTGAACTCCTGAGGTCAAGTGATCTGCCTGCCTCAGCCTCCCGAAGTGCGAGGATTACAGGCATGAGCCACCATGCCTGGCCTGTGTCTCTACTTTTTAAAATCATAACATTTAGCTTTGTTATATTCAGCAAAATATAAAAACTCCAATTTTCAGATATATTCTTATTATATATTTTAGGAAAATAAAAAACATATTTTCATAAACTTAGAAAGTACTTATTGAAAGAATACTTTTTGATTTCAAAATAATTGCTTTTAAAACTGAGATTTCAAAAGGTTACGTTGGCTGTGCCCAGTGGGTTATGCCTGTAATCCCAGAACTTTAGGAGGCTGAGGCAGGAAGATCACTTGAACCTAGGAGTTCAAGATCAGCCTGGGCAACATAGCAAGACCTCCTCTTTACAAAAAAATCAGAAAGAAAAGGCCAGGCACAGTGGCTCATGCCTGTAATCCCAGCACTTTGGGAGGCTGAGGCGGGCAGATCACTTGAGGTCAGGAGTTTGAGACTAGCCTGGCCAACATGGTGAGACCCCATATCTACCAAAAATACAAAAATTAGCTGGGTGTGGTGGTGTGCACCTGTAATCCCAGCTACTGAGGAGGCTGAGGCAGGAGAATCGCTTGAACCTGGGAGGTGGAGGTTGCATTGAGCTGAGATCATGCCACTGCACTCCAGCCTGGGCAACAGAGTAAGACTGTCTCAAAAAAAAAAAAAAAAAACTGAAAAAAAGCAGTTGGGTGTGGTGGCAGGTGACTGTGATCCTAGCTACTCAGGAGGTTGATGTGAGAGGATTGTTTGAGCCCAGGTGGTTGAGGCTGCAGTGAGCCGTGATCATGCCACTGCACTCCAGTTTGGGTGACAGAGTGAGACCTGGTCTCAAAATGAAAATAAAAATAAAAATAGAAAAAGGTTACATTGAGTTTCTTTGTTTGTTTTTGTTTATTTATTTATTTTTTTTTTGAGATTGAGTGTTGCTCTGTCGCCCAGACAGACATTATCTATTATATATGTTTGACCCTTTGATATTATGTCTTTAAATGTTATATTACATGTCTAAAATTTTGATTTTCTTTCTCACCATACATTTTAGCAGACTTACTACCAAGTAACAAAATTTCCAATTAGTAACGTTTCATCTTCTGCCACATCTCTGATACTAGTATCAGTAAAATAGTTAAAATATTACTTTAAGTGAAGAAGAAAAGAGACCCATAAAATCTCCAGTTTCATATAACATATCCAATGAATTCTTAAAAAATATTTGAATATCTCTTTGGTCAATATGTTACAGCTAAATTTGGATGGAAATTACAGAAATACAAAAGTAATGGCATGTTTTCCTTTAAGGCAGGAAATGGCTAAGTTTGAGTGTTGCCTTTGTCAAAGGATAGCAGGAGTGAATTTCAGTCAGAAAATATGCAGAAATAAATGGGAACCTATCTCCCCCTAAAATGTTTAAGGGAAAATTTGGGGGAAATTATCAAACCTCAATAGGCAATTTAGTAGAGAAAGGGAAAGTATAATTGAGAGGGATACTCTGAATTAAGTATATTTTTTGACATTCCTTATTTGCCAAATCAGGAAGCAGAGACTTTAATCAAAGCCATTGACCTGTATCAATCACCACTGTGCTCAGTTTTAAATACAGAGTAGGCATTGGAGGCTAGTTTTAGAAAAATAGAGTTAAGTATTAAATTTCATGGATCTTACCAAAGTTTAATATTTTGAAAAAAAAGTCTAATACTATACTTCTATAAGATAGATTTTGTATTTAACTGGTCTTCACTTGGAAAATATCGAACAAAAAATCCCAAAACAATTCCTGCCAGCCGACTAATACATATGTTCCTTATAGAGGCTATGGCGTTATTAAGCATACCACCTGTAGGGGCACACAATAAAAAAAAATTCACAAAGAAATATTTTCACATACACTACACATCAGAAAAGCAAATCTAGGTGGTTCATGAAGAAAAGTAAGCATTTTATAGAACAAATATATGCAAATGGTCTTTTTATAGTGACATGTATGAAAACACGTAGATCTATTTAGTACATTAAATATATACTCTCAAATAATTTAATATATACACACAACTCAGAAATGTCCATTATATAAATAGGCCAGAAAACAAAGACTTAAGCACAAGATGCTCCCCTTACATAGCCAATTTAAAAGACAGAGTGAGGTAGTCCGGGCACAGTGGTTCATGTCTGTAATCCTAGCGCTTTGGGAGGCCGAGGAGGGTGAATTACTTGAGGTCAGGAGTTCAAGACCAGCCTGGCCAACATAATGAAGCCCCATCTCTACTAAAAATACAAAAATTTTGTGGGCATGGTGGCACACAACTGTGGTCCCAGGTACTCAGGAGGCTGAGGGAGGAGAATCACTTGAACCTGGGAGGCAGAGGTTGCAGTGAGCTGAGATCGTGCCACCACACTCCAGCCTGGGTGAAAGATGGAGGCTACACCTCGAAAAGAAAAAAAAGACCAAGTGAGGTACAAGAATGGAGAGAGACCGAAACACTTGTGGCACTTAGCATATGGCTGGTAAGGGCTATATTAACAATTCTTCTTTGATGTACTATATGAAAAAGAAACAAATGATTTTAACATGAAAAGAACAATGTAATAACAACATAAAAAATTTTGTTCCAGGGTCAGTCCTAGAAACATTCAAGGGTCATTTAAGATTTCAGTATATTTAAGTTTCTGCTTTTGGTGAAGAAAAAAGGAAAAAAAATACAAAAGATTCCAGTATATTTTATATTAATTAATATTAATATATCCATACTTGTAGTTCATTGTAATAAGTAAAAAGCAAAAAATAAAAAAAACCAGAATGAGTCACAAAAATAGTTCAGTTAAGCTCTGGGTAGTGGATTCAATATAGTACGTAAGTATATTTTTAGATATATTTTCTACTAAATATAACAGGCAGCGCATGGTGGGCTCACACCTTTAATCCTAGCACTTTGGGAGGCCAAGGCAGAAAGATTGCTTGAGCCCAAGATTTGAGACCAATTTGGGCAACAGAGTGAAACCCCATCTTCACAAGAAAATAGGAAATTAGCCCGGTATGTGGTGTGTACCTATAGTCCAAGTACTCAGTAGCCTGAGGGAGGAGGTCCCTTGAGCTCAGGAGTTCGAGGCTGCACTCTAGCCTGGCTGACAGAGCAAGATCCTGTCTCAAGAAAATAAAATATAATAAAAATAAAAAATTATATAAACAGAGTGATGCCAGCCAGATGGTGGAATGGCTCCAAACCTTGATTCTCCATAAAGATAGCAACTGAAAAACAATATATGGTCTAAAAGCCTTTATGGAGTTCCATAAACCATTAAGAAATTGTAGTAGCACAGACAAGTGCAAAACCAAGAATAGTGGCATTGAACAAATAAGAAAAGCTGTTGCATTATACTCATGATACCCCTTCCCCAAGCTCGAACAGGTTGGTTTGGCTGGGAAGCACTCAACTTGCAGCTTCTCCGTTAGCAGAGAAAGAGAAGACTGGAACGGAATAGTTTTATGAGGTTACCTGAAGCTCTCCCTCTCTCTCTAACTTGACGCCCAACTGGCATACTTTGGATTCATGGGAGCCACTGGGAATAAAGGAGAGGTCAGAGATGATGCAGCACCAGGGAACCTGCAGTACCACAGACAGATACCAGAGGGAGCAACAGCTCCAGAAAAAGAAACTGGCAAACCTCTACTTGGGATGTTGCAATGTATAAACCCAAACAAGATGCATTCCCAGAAAAAGTTTGAGAGGCTGCTGGAACCTATAGCCATGCTGATTCAGGTATGAAGGTCTTCCGTATGAAGCCAGCTGATAAAAACTGGGAGAAGTGGCAGTTTTTTCAAACGCCCAAATCTTGGCAAAAATAAATAAAAAAATAAAAAATAACAAGACATAAGAAGAAACAGAGAAACCTGATGACTAAATTAAAGGAGCAAAATAAATCTACAGAAACCAACCCTAAAGAAATAGATAAATGAGTTACCTGACAAAGAATCCAAATTAACTCTCTTAATGAAGCCCAGTGACAACAGAAATAGACAACTAAGTGAAAGCAGGAAATAATTCATGAAGAAAATGAAAATATTAATGGAGATAGAAACTAAAAAAAAAAAAAAGGAACCATACAGAAACTCTGGAGCTAAGGAATACAATAGCTCAATTGAAAAATTCACTATTGGAAATCACCAATAGACTGTGTAACTGCCCAGTGGTTTCACCTCGTGCCCTGCTTAGACAGAGCTGATTTATCAAGACAGGGGAACTGCAATGGAGAAAGAGTAATTCAGGCAGAGCCAGCTGTGCGGGAGATCAGAGTTTTATTATTACTCAAATCAGTCTCCCTGAGCATTCGGGGATCAGAACTTTTAAAGATAATTTGGCAGGTAGGGGCTTGGAAAGTGGGGACTGCCTATTCATCAGGTTGGAGATGAAATCATACAGGGTTGAAATGATGTTTTCTTGCTGTCTTCTGTTTGTGGGTGGGGTGGCAGAACTAGTTGAGCCATATTACCAGTCTGGGTGGTGTCAGCTGATTCATCCAGTGCAGGGTCCGCAAAATATCTCAAGCACTGATTTTAGGTTTTACAATAGTGATGTTATCCCCAGGAGCAATTTGGAGAGGTTCAGACTCTTGGAGCCAGAGGCTGCATAACCCCTCAACTGTAATTTCTGATGTTATAGCTAATTTGTTTATCCTGCAAAGGCAGACTGGTTCCAGGCAAGAAGGGGATCTTTTTGGGAAATGGCTATTATCAACTTTGTTTCAGAGTCAAACCATGAACTGAATACCTTCCCAAAATTAGTTCATCCTACTGCCAGGAATGAACAAGGACAGTTTAAATGCTAGAAGCAAGATGGAGTTGATTAAGTCTGATGTCTTTTGCTGTCATAATTTCTTCAGTTATAATTTTTGCAAAGGCAGTTTCAATAACATCAAGCAGAAGAAAGAATCAGTGAAACGGAAGACTAGTCATTTGAAATTATGGAGTCAGAAGAGCAAAAGGGAAAAGGAGTGAAGAGTGAAGACAGCCTAAGAGACTTACAGGATGCCATCAAGCAGACCAATGTATGCATTATGAAAGTGCCCGGAGGAGAGAAAAATAAAGGGGCAGAGAGCCAGTTAAAAAAATAATGACCAAAAACTTCTCAAACTTAAAGAAGGAAATGGACATACAAATCCAAGAGGCTCAAAGAACTCCAAGTTGGATAATTTGCAAAAGACCTACAATGAGACACATTACAATCAAACTGTCAAAAGTCAAAGACAAAGAGAGAATTTTGAAAGGAACAGGACCAAAGCAACTTGTCACATACAAGGGAGATGCCATATGGTTATCAATGGAATTATCAGCAAAAACTCTACAGACCAGAAGAGAATGGGATGATATATTAAAAGGGCTGAAAGAAAAAAAAAACTGTCAACAAGAACTGTATAGCCAGTAAAACTCTACTTCAAAAATGAAGGACAAACGAAGAGTTCCCCAGAGAAGTAAAAGGTGAGGGAGTTGATCACCACTAGACCTACCTTACAAAAAATGTTAAAGGGAGTCCTCCAAGTGGAAATGAAAAGGCATTGGATAGAAATACAAAAGCATACAAAATATAAACTTCTTTGGTAAAGGTAAATATATGAGTGAACATAGAATCTTTTAATACTCTAATGGTGGTAAGCAAAACACTTTTTTTCCTTTACTTTTTTTTTTTTTTGAGACGAAGTCTTGCTCTGTTGCCCAGGCTGGAGTGCAGTGGTTTGATCATGGCTCACTGCAGCCTTGTAGTCCTGGGCTAAAGCAATCCTCCCACCTCAGCCTCCCGAGTGGCTGGGACTACAGACATGCACCACCACACTCAGATAATATTTTTAAATTTTTAGCAGACATAAGGCCTTGCTGGTCTCAAACTCCTAGGCTCAAGCGATCCTCCCATTTTGGCCTGTCAAAGTGCTGGGTCTACAGGTGGGAGACACCACACCCAGCCTGTAATTCACTTTTAATTGATGCATAGAATTTAAAAGTTGAAAGCATAATATTACTGTATTAAATTATGTGAATAAACAATATAAAATATATAGTGTGACATTGATAACAAAGTGAGAAGGAGGTGTAAAGAAGTAGAGTTTTTGTATGTGATTAAAGTTAAGTTGTTGTCAATTTAAAATAGATTATTATAACTATAAGATGTTTTCATGTAATTCTACAGTAACCACAAAGAAAAGACCTACAGAAGTTACACAAATAAAAATGAGAAAGGAACCAAAGCACGTCCCTACCAAAAAAAGGAATCAGTGAAACATAAAGGGAGGCAGAAAGAGAGGAAAAGTGGAAAAAAATACCTGCAAGACATGTATAAAACAATGAACAAAATGACAATAGTAAGCCCCTCCCTATCAGTAACTACTTTAAATGCAAATAGGCTAATTTTCCAATCAAAAGACAGAGAATTGGCTGAATGGATTAAAAAAATGTAAATATATACTATATGCAAGAGACTTATGTTAGATCTAAACACACACAAAGGTTGAAAGTGAAAGGATGGAAAAAGATATTCAATGCATTTGGTAACCAAAAGAGAACAAGGATGGCCATACTTAGACAAAATAGAGTTTAATTCAAATAATAGCACAACAGACAAGGATATTACATAATAATAAAAGGGCCAATTGACCAAGAAGATATAGCAATTATAAATGTATATGTAACTAACAGTACAGCATCTAAATATATGAAGCTAACATAGACAGAATTGAGGGGTAACATAGATAGCAACATCATAATAACAGAAAACTTCAATATTCCACTTTCAATTATGGATACAATAACCAGACAGAAGATCAACTGGAAAACACAGAACTTGAACAACATTATAGACCAATTGGACCTGTCTGACATATACAGAACACTTCACCCAATAATAGCAAAATACACTTTCTTCTCAAGTACATACCAAGACGATTCCAGGATAGATGACATGCTAGTCCACAAACAAGTTTTTAAAAATTTAAGAAAACTGAACTCATACCAAATATCTTTTCTGACCACATTAAATGAAATTACAAATTCATAGCAGAAGGAAAAAGGAAAAGTAATAAATATGTGGAAATTACAAAAATATACTCTCTTAACCAATTGACCTGTGTGGTTAATATTAATTGACAATTTGATTGAGGGATGCTTAGATGCCTGATGAAGCACTGTGTGTGTGTATATCTGTGAGGGTGCTGCCACAGGAGAATGATGGATGAGTTAGTGGACTGAGAGAGAAAAACCCATCCTCACTGTGGGTAGGCATCATGCAATTGGTTGCAAGTGTGACTAGAACAAAAAGGCAGAAGAATGGGAACATTCAGCTTGCTTGGATTTCTTTTTTATGCACTTTCTCTCTCTTCCAGAGCAGTATGCCTTTTTTTCCTCTTGCCCTTGCACATCAAACTCTAGGTTCTTTGGCCTTTGGACCCTGGGACTTGCATCAGCAGCCTTTTGGGAGCTCTCAGGCCTTGGTCCTCAGACTAGTGGCTGCACTGTCAGCCTCCCTGGTTTTGAGACTTTCAGACTGGGACTGAGCCATGTCACTGGCTTCCTTGGGAGCCATGCTGTAGGCTTCTCTCATTTTCCAGCTTATAGATGGCCTATTGTGGGACTTTGCCTTTGTAATTATGTGAGCCAAATCTCCTTAATAAATTATATTTCATATATATGTAAATATATTCTCTTTTAGATGCATGTGTATATATTTATATCTATATCTATTATCTATATATATATCTATATCATCCATATCTGTATCTATATCTATATTTCCTATTGGATCTGACCCTCTTGAGAACTCTGATTAATACATAGTCAAAGAATAAGTCACAAGGAAAATTAGAAAATGTCTTGAGACAAATAAAAATGGAAACACAACATTCCAAAGCTTGTGGGATGCAGCAAAATGAATATGAAGAGGACAGTTTATATATCTAACTACCTACCTTAAAAAAGAAGAAAGATCTAAAATCAGCAACTTAGCTTTACACCTCAAGAAACTGGAAAAAGAAGAACTCAACCCAATGTTAGCAACAGGAAGGAAATAATAAAGTCTAGAGCAGAAGGCCGGGAGCAGTGGCTCACGACTGTAATCCCAGCACTTTGGGAGGCCGAGGCAGGTGGATCACCTGAAGTCGGGAGTTCGAGACCAGCCTCAGCAACATGGAGAAACGTGTCTCTACTAAAAAATACAAAATTAGCCGGGCATGGTGGTTCATGCCTGTAATCCCAGCTACTCTGGAGGCTGAGGCAGGAGAGTCACTTGAACTGGGAGGTGGAGGTTGCAGCGAGCGGAGATCACGCCATTGCACTACAGCCTGGGCAATAAGAGCAAAACTCCATCTCAAAAAAAAAAAAAAAAAAAAAAGGCTAGAGAATAGAAAAAATCCAATGAAACTAGTAGTTGTTTCAAAGTTCAACAAAATTGACAAATCATTAGCTAGAATATTTAAGAAAAAAAAAGAAGACTCAACTTCTTTTAGGAACAAAAGAGAAGACACTGCAACAGATATTACAGAAATAAAAAGGATTCTAAGAGTCTACTATGAATGATTATATACTGACAAGTTGGATAACCTAGGAGAAATGAACAGATTCCTTGTAACATGCAAGTTACCAAGACTAAGTCACAAAATAAAAAATCTTAATAAACCTATAACTAGTAACTGAATCAGGAATCAAAAACCTCCCAGCAAACCAAATACCTGATAAGGGGTTAATATCTAAAATATATACAGAACAACAACTCAATAACAAAACAACCTAAATGAGAAATGGTCAGTTGACTTTGCTATGGTCCAAATGTTCTCCCAATATTCATATGCTGGAGCCTAATATTCAATGTGATAATATTAAGAGGTGGGGCATTTTGGAGATGATTAGTTCATGAAGTCATAGCTCTCAGAAATGGGACTAGGGCCTTTATAAAAGAGGCTTAAGGGAGTTTGTTTTCCCTTTTGAACATTTGAGGACACAGAGAAGGTGCTATATATAGTGAATATAGTGACCTCACCAGTCACTGAGTCTGTCGTAGCCTAAATCTTGGACTTCTCACACTCCAGAATGCAAGAAATAAATTTCTGTTGTTTATAAATTACCAGCCTAAGGTATTTTGTTATAGCAGCAGGAATGGACTAAGATAGACTTGAATAGACATTTTTTCCAAAAAGAAATACAAATGGCCAACTAGCATATCAACCCAACACTACATGGAAACTGCCAAGGCTTGGGGATTGAACTCTGAAGCAATAGCCTGAGCTGCACATTGGCTCCTTTTAGCCATGGCTGGGACACAGGGCACCAAGTCCCAAGACTGCACAGAGCAGCAAAGTTCTGGGCCTGGCCCACAAAACCATTTTTTCCCTCCTAGGCCTCCAACCCTGTGATGGGAGGGGCTGTCGTGAAGAACTCTGACATGCCCTGGAGACAATTTCCCCATTATCTTGTCAATTAACATTTGGCTCCTTGTTACTTCTGCAAATTTCTGCAGTCAGCTTGAATTTCTCCCCAGAAAATGGGTTTTCTTTTCTATCACATCATCAGGCTGCAAATCTTCCAAACTTTCATGCTCTGCTCCCTTTTAAACATAAGTTCTAATTCCAAACCATATTTTTGTGAACACATAAAACTGAACACTTTTAAGAGCACTCAGGTCATAAATTGAACACTTTGCTGCTTACAAATTTCTTCTACCAGATGTCCTGGATGGATTCCAAGATGGCAAAATAGGAACAGTTCCGGTCTGCAGCTCCCAGCATGATCGACACAGAAGACAGGTGATTTCTGCACTTCCAACTGAGGTACCTGGTTCATCTCATTGGGACTGGTTGGAGAGTGGGTGCAGGCCCACAGAGGGTGAGCTGAAGCAGGGTGGGGTGTCGCCTCACCCGGGAAGCACAAGGGGTTGGGGGATTTCCCTTTCCTAGCCAAGGGAAGCTGTGACAGACTACCTGGAAAAACAGGGCACTCCCGCCCAAATACTGCACTTTTCCCAAGGTCTTAGCAACTAGCAGACAAGGTGATTCTCTCCTGTGCCTGGCTCAGTGGGTCCCACACCCATGGAGCCTTGCTCACTGCTAGCACAACAGTCTGAAATCCATCTGTGAGGTGGCAGCCTGGCTGGGGGAGGGGCGTCCATCATTGCTGAGGCTTAAGTAGGTAAACAAAGTGGCCAGGGAAGCTTGAACTCGGTGGAGCCCACCGCAGCTCAACAAGGCCCATTGCCTCTAGACTCCACGTCTGTGGGCAGGGATAGCTGAACAAAAGGCAGCAACTTCTGCAGACTTAAACGTCCCTGTCTGACAGCTCTGAAGAGAGCAGTGGTTTTCCCAGCATGGCGTTTGAGTTCTGAGAATGGACAGACTGCCTCCTCAAGTGGGTCCCTGACCCCTGTGTAGCCTAACTGGGACACACCTCCCAGTAGGGGCTGACAGACACCTCATATAGGCGGCTGCCCCTCTTGGACAAAGCTTCCAGAGGAAGGATCAGGCAGCAATATTTGCTGTTCTGCAATATTTGCTGTTCTGCAGCCTCCACTGGTGATACCCAGGCAAACAGTGTCTGGAGTGGAACTCCAGCAAACTCCAACAGATCTGCAGCTGAGGGTCCTGACTGTTAGAAGGAAAACTAAAAAACAGAAAGGAATAGTGTCAACATTAACAAAAGATCATCTAACCAAAACCCCATCTGTAGATCAACAATATCAAAGACCAAAGGTAGATAAAACCAAAAGGATGGGGATAAACCAGAGCAGAAAAGCTGAAAATTCTAAAAATCAGAGCACCCCTTCTCCTCCAAAGGATCACAGCTCCTTGTCAGCAATGGAACAAAGCTGGACGTAGAATGACTTTGACGAGTTGACAGAAGTAGGCTTCAGAAGGTTGGTAATAACAAACTTCTCCGAGCTAAAGGAGGATGTTGGAACCCATTGCAAGGAAGCTAAAAACCTTGAAAAAAGATTAGACGAATGGCTTACAAGAATAAACAGTGTAGAGAAGACCTTAAGTGACCCAATGGAGCTGAAAACCATGGCACGAGAACTTTGTGACACATGCACAAGCTTCAATAGCCGATTCAATCAAGTGGAAGAAAGGGTATCAGTGATTGAAGATCAAATAAATGAAATAAAGTGAGAAGACAAGGTTAGAGAAACAAGAGTAAAAAGAAATGAAGAAAGCCTCCAAGAAATATGGGACCATGTGAAAAGACCAAATCTATATTTGATTGGTGTACCGGAAAGTGATAAGGAGAATGGAACCAAGTTGGAAAACAGTCTGCAGGATATTATCCAGGAGAACTTCCCCAACCTAGCAAGGCAGGCCAACATTCAACTTCAGGAAATACAGAGAACAACACAAAGATACTCTCTGAGAAGAGCGATTCCAAGACACATAATTGTCAGATTCACCAAGGTTGAAGTGTAGGAAAAAGTGTTAAGGGCAGCCAGAGAGAAAGGTCAGGTTAGCCACAAAGGGAAGCCCATCAGACTAACAGCTGATCTCTTGGCAGAAACCCTACAATCCAGAAGAGAGTGGGGGCCAATATTCAACATTCTTAAAGAAAATAATTTTCAATCCAGAGTTTCATATCCAGCCAAACTAAGCTTCATAAGTGAAGGAGAAAATAAAATTCTTTACTGACAAGCAAATGCTGAGAGATTTTGTCACCACCAGGCCTGCCTTACAAGAGCTCCTGAAGGAAGCACTAAACATGGAAAGAAACACCCGGTACCAGCCAGTGCAAAAACATGCCAAGTTATAGAGAACATCAATGCTAGGAAGAAACTGCATCAATTAACGGGCAAATAACAGCGAATATCATAATGACAGGATCAAATTCACACATTACAATATTAACTGTAAACATAAATGGGCTAAATGCCCCAATTAAAGGACACAGACTGGCAAATTGGATAAAGAGTCAAGACCCATCAGTGTGCTGTATTCAGGAGACCCATCTCATGCGCAAATTCACACATAGGTTCAACATAAAGGGATGGAGGAAGATCTACCAAGAAAATGGAAAACAAAAAAAGGCAGGGGTTGCAATCCTTGTCTCTGATAAAACAGACTTTAAACCAACAAAGATCAATGGAGACAAAGGCCATTACATAATGGTAAAGGGATCAATGCAACAAGAAGAGCTAACTATCCTAAATATATATGCACCCAATACAAGAGCACCCAGATTCATAAAGCAAGTCCTTAGAGACCTACAAAGAGACTTAGACTCCCACACAATAATAATGGGAGACTTTAACACCGAACTGTCAATATTAGAAAGATCAACAAGGCAGAAGGTTAACAAAGATATCCAGGACCTGAACTCAGCTCTGCAACAAACAGACCCAATAGACATCCACAGAAATCTCCACCTCAAATCAACAGAGTATACATTATTCTCAGCACCACATATCACTTATTCTAAATTTGACCACATAATTGGAAGTAAAGCACTCCTCACCAAATGTAAAAGAACAGAAATCACAACAAACTGTCTCTCAGACCACAGTGCAATCAAATTCGAACTTAGGATTAAGAAGCTCACTCAAAACTGAACAACTACATGGAAACTGAACAATTTGCTCCTGAATGACTACTGGGTAAATAACAAAATGAAGGCAGAAATAAAGATGTTCTTTGAAACCAATGAAAACAAAGACACAATGTACCAGAATCTCTGGGACACATTTAAAGCAGTGTGTAGGGGGAAATTGATAGCACTAAATGCCCAGAAGAGAAAGCAGGAAAGATCTAAAATTGACCCCCTAACATGACAATTAAAAGAACTAGAGAAGCAAGAGCAAACACATTCAAAAGCTGGCAGAAGGAAAAAATAAGATCAGAGCAGAGCTGAAGGAGACAGAGACACAAAATCCCTTCAAAAAAGCAATGAATCCAGGAGCTGGTTTTTTGAAAAGATCAACAAAATTGATAGACTGCTAGCAAGACTAATAAAGAAGGAAAGAGAGAGGAATCAAATAGATGCAATAAAAATGATAAAGGGGATATCACCACTGAGCCCAGGGAAGTAAAAACTACCATCAGAGAATACTATAAACACCTATACACAAATAAACTTGAACATCTAGAAGAAATGGATAAATTCTGGGACACATACACCCTTGCAAGACTAAACCAGGAAGAAGTTGAATATCTGAATAGACCAATAACAGGCTCTGAACTTGAGGCAATAATTAATAGCCTACCAACCAAAAAAAAGTCCAGGACCAGATGGATTCACAGCTGAGTTCTACCAGAGGTACAAAGAGGAGCTGGTACCAGTCTTTCTGAAACTTTTCCAATCAATAGAAAAAGATAGAATCCTCCCTAATTCATTTAATGAGGCCAACATCATCCTGATACCAAAGCCTGACAGAGACACACCAACAACAAAAAAGAGAATTTTAGACCAATATCCCTGATGAACATTGATGCAAATATCCTCAATAAGATACTAACAAACTGAATCCAGCAGCACATCAAAAAGCTTATCCACCATGATCAAGTTGGCATCCCTAGGATGCAAGACTGGTTCAACATACGCAAATCAATAAACGTAATACATCCTATAAACAGAACCAAAGACAAAAACCACATGATTATCTTAATAGATGCAGAAAAGACCTTTGACAAAATTCAACAGCCCTTCATGCTAAGAACTCTCAATAAACGAGGTACTGATGGGACGTATCTCAAAATAATGAGAGCTATTTATGACAAACACACAGCCAATATCATACTGAATGGACAATAACTGGAAGCATTCCCTTTGAAACCTGGCACAAGACAACGATTCTCTCTCTCACCACTCCTATTCAAAATAGTCTTGGAAGTTCTGGCCAGGGAAATCAGGCAAGAGAATGAAATAAAGGGTATTCAGTTAGGAAAAGAGGAAGTCAAATTGTCCCTGTCTGAAGATGACATGACTGTATATTCACAAAACCCCATCATCTCAGCTCAAAATCTCCTTAAGCTGATAAGCAACTTCAGCAAAGTCTCTGGATACAAAATCAATGTGCAAAAATCACAAGCATTCCTATACACCAATAACAGACAAACAGAGAGCCAAATCATGAGTGAACTTCCATTCACAATTGCTTCAAAGAGAATAAAATACCTAGGAATCCAACTTACAAGGGACGTGAAGGGCCTCTTCAAGGAGAACTACAAATCGCTGCTCAACAAAATAAAAGAGGACACAAACAAATGGAAGAACATTCCATGCTCATGGATAGGAAGAATCAATATCGTGAAAATGGCCATACAGCCAAAGATAATTTATAGATTCAATGCCATCCCCATCAAGCTACAAATGACTTTCTTCACAGAATTGGAAAAAACAACTTTAAAGTTCATATGGAACCAAAAAAGAACCTGCATTGCCAAGTCAATCCTAAGCAAAAAGAACAAATCTGGAGGCATCACACTACCTGACTTCAAACTACACTACAAGGCTACAGTAACCAAAACAGCATGGTACTGGTGCCAAAACAGAGATACAGACCAATGGAACAGAATAGAGCCCTCAGAAATAATACCACACATCTACAACCATCTGATCTTTGACAAACCTGACATAAACAAGAAATGGGGAAAGGATTCCCTATTTAATAAATGGTGCTGGGAGAACTGGCTAGCCATATGTGGAAAGCTGAAACTAGATCCCTTCCTTACAACTTATATAAAAATTAATTCAAGATGGATTAAAGACTTAAATGTTAGACCTAAAACCATAAAAATCCTAGAAGAATACCTAGACAATACCATTCAGGACATAGGCATGGGCAAGGAATTCATGACTAAAACACCAATAGCAATGGCAACAAAAGCCAAAATTGACAAATGAGATCCAATTAAATTCAAGAGCTTCTGCATAGCAAAAGAAACTACCATCAGAGTGAACAGACAACCTACAGAATGGGAGAAAATTTTTACAATCTACCCATCTGACAAAGGGCTAATATCCAGAATCTACAAAGAACTTAAACAAATTTATATGAAAAAATCAAACTACCCCATCAAAAAGTGGGCAAAGGGTATGAACAGACACTTCTCAAAAGAAGACATCTATGAAGCCAACAGACACTGGAAAAATGCTCATCATCACTGGCCATCAGAGAAATGCAAATCAAAACCACAATGAGATACCATCTCACACCAATTAGAATGGCGATCATTAAAAAGTCAGGAAACAACATGTGCTGGAGAGGATATGGAGAAATAGGAAGGCTTTTACACTGTTGGTGGGAGTGTAAACTAGTTCAATCATTGTAGAAGACAGTGTGGCAATTCCTCAAAGATCTAGAACTAGAAATACCATTTCACCCAGCCATCCCATTACTGGGCATATACCCAAAGGATTGTGAATCGTGCTGCTATAAAGACACATGCACACGTATGTTTATTGCGGCACTATTCACAATAGCAAAGACTTGGAACCAACCTAAATGTCCATCAATGATAGACTGGATTAAGAAAATGCGGCACATATACACCATGGAATACTATGCAGCCATAAAAAGGATGAGTTCATGTCCTTTGTAAGGACATGGATGAAGCTAGAAACCATCATTCTGAGAAAACTATCACAAGGACAGAAAACTAAACACCACATGTTCTCACTCATAGGTGGGAATTGAACAATGAGAACACTTGGACACAGGGTGGGGAACATCACACACTGGGGCCTGTCATGGAGTGGGGGGAGGGGGGATAGCATTAGGAGATATATCTAATGTAAATGACTAGTTAATGGGTGCAGCACACCAACATGACACATGTATACATATGTAACAAACCAGCACATTGTGCACATGTACCCTAGAACTTAAAGTATAATAATAGAAAAACTATGACACTCTCCTACATACCATATCTGTAGAAAAATTATAAATTTTAGATAACCATCCAGAGATATTTCTCTAATTCTTGGAAAACATATCAACATTGAAAACATCAAAAAAATTAAACAGTTCTTTTTTCATCCAAAAAAAAAGAACAATAGGGAATCCTCCCTAACTCATTTTATGAGGCCAACATCATCCTGGTACCAAAGCCTGGCAGAGACACAACAAAAAAAGAGAATTTTAGACCAATATCCTTGATGAACATCGATGCAAAAATCCTCAATAAAATATTGGCAAACCAAATCCAGCAGCACATCAAAAAGCTTATCCACCACGATCAAGTGGGCTTCATCCCTGGGATGCAAGGCTGGTTCAACATATGCAAATCAATAAACGTAATCCATTACATAAACAGAACCAAAGACAAAAACCACATGATTATCTCAAGAGATGCAGAAAAGACCTTTGACAAAATTCAACACTCCTTCATGCTAACAACTCTCAATAAACTAGATACTGATGGGACGTATCTCAAAATAATAAGAGCTATTTATGACAAACCCACAGCCAATATCATACTGAATGGGCAAAAACTGGAAGCATTCCTTTTGAAAACCGGCACAAGACAAGGATGCCCTCTCTCACCACTCTTATTCAACATGGTGTTGGAAGTTCTGACCAGTGGAATCAGGCAGGAGAAAGAAATAAATGGTATTCAGTTAGGAAAAGATGAAGTCAAATTGTCCCTGTTTGCAGATGACATGATTGTATATTTAGAAAACCCCATCATCTCAGCCCAAAATCTCCTTAAGCTGATAAGCAACTTCAGCAAACTCTCAGGATACAAAATTAATGTGCAAAAATCACAAGCATTCCTATACACCATTAATAGACAGAGAGCCAAATCATGAGTGAACTCCCATTCACAATTGCTACAAAGAGAATAAAATACCTAGGAATCTGACTTACAAGGGTTGTGAAGGACCTCTTCAAGGAGAACTACAAACCACTGCTCAACGAATTAAAAGAGGACACAAACAAATGGAAGAATATTCCACGCTCATGGATAGGAAGAATCAATATCATGAAAATGGACATACGGCACAAAGTAATTTATAGATTCAATACCATCCCCATCAAGCTACTAATAAATTTCTTCACAGAATTGGAAAAAACTACTTTAAAGTTCATATGGAACCAAAAAAGAGCCTGCATTGCCAAGACAATCCTAAGCAAAAAGAACAAATCTGGAGGCATCACACTACCTGACTTCAAACTATACTACAAGGCTACAGTAACCAAAACAGCATGGTACTGGTGCCAAAACAGATATATAGACCAATGGAACAGAACAGAGGCCTCAGAAATAAGACCACACATCTACAGCCATCTGATCTTTGACAAACCTGACAAAAACAAGAAATGGGGAAAGGACTGCCTATTTAATAAATGACGCTGGGAAAACTGGCTAGCTATATGTAGAAAGCTGAAACTGGATCCCTTCCTTACATCTTATACAAAAATTAATTCAAGGTGGATTAAAGACTTAAATGTTAGACCTAAAACCATAAAAACCCTAGAAGAAAACCTAGGCAATACCATTCAGGCCATAGGCATGAGCAAGGACTTCATGACTAAAACACCAAAAGCAATGGCAACGAAAGCCAAAATTGACAAATGGGATCTAATTAAACTAAAGAGCTTCTGCACGGCAAAAGAAACTGCCATCAGAGTGAACCAGGCAACATACAGAATGGGAGATAAATTGCAATCTACCCATTTGACAAAGAAAGAATTCAAACAAATTTACAAGAAAAAAACAACCCCATCAAAAAGTGGGCAAAGATATGAATAGACACTTCTCCAAAGAAGACATCTATGCAGCTAACAGACACAAGAAAAAAAGCTCACCATCACTGGTCATCAGAGAAATGCAAATCAAAACCACAATGAGATACCATCTCACCCCAGTTAGAATGGCATTCATTAAAAAGTCAGGAAACAACAGGTGCTGGAGAGGATATGGAGAAATAGGAACGCTTTTACACTGTTGGTGGGAGTGTAAACTAGTTCAACCATTGTGAAAGACATTGTGGTGATTCCTCGAGGATCTAGAACTAGAATTACCATTTGACCCAGCAATCCCATTACTGGGTATATACCCAAAGGATTATAAATCATGCTACTATAAAGACACATGCACATGTATGTTTATTGCGGCACTATTAACAATAGCAAACACTTGGAACCAACCCAAATGTCCAACAATGATAGACTGGATTAAGAAAATGTGGCACATATACACCATGGAATACTATGCAGCCATAAAAAAGGATGAGTTCATGTCCTTTGCAGGGAGATAAATGAAGCTGGAAACCATCATTCTCAGCAAAACTATCACAAGGACAGAAAACCAAACACCACATGTTCTCACTTATAGATGGGAATTGAACAATGAGATCACTTGGACACAGGGCTGGGAACATCACACACTGGGGCTTGTTGGGGGGTGGAGGGCTGGGGGAGGGAGAGCATTAGGAGAAATACCTAATGTAAATGATGAGTTGATGGGTGCAGCAAACCAACATGGCACATGTATACCTATGTATCAAACCTGCACGTTGTGCATATGTACCCTAGAACTTAAGGTATAACAACAACAACAACAACAAACGTTTCTTCTACCAGATGTCCTCAGTCATCTCTCTCAATTTCAAAGTTCCATAAATCTGTAGGGCAGGGGCAAAATGCCACCAGTCTCTTTGCTAAAGCATAGCAAGAGTGACCTTTATTTCAGTTCCCAACAAGTTGTTCATCTCCATCTCGGACCTCCTCAGCCTGGACTTCACTGTCCAAGTCACTATCAGCAGTTTGGTCAAAGCCATTCAACAAGTCTCTAGGCAGTTCCAAACTTTCCCACATCTTCTGGTCTTCTTCTGAGTCCTCCCAACTGTTCCAAACTCTGCACATTACACAGTTCCAAAGTCACTTCCACATTCTCAGGTATCTTATAGCAATATTCCATTACCTCAGTATCAGAATCTGTATTAGTCATGGTTCTCTAGAGGGATAGAACTAATAGGATATATATATATATATATATATATATATATATATATATATATATATATATATATATATATATGAAAGGGAGTTTATTAAGGAGAATTGATTCACACCATCACAATTGAAGTCCTACAACAGGCCGTCTGCAAGTTGAGGAGCAAGGAATCTAATATTGGCTCAGTCCGAGTCCCAACACCTCAAAAGTAGGGAAACCGACAGGCCAGCTTTGAGTCTCTGGATGAAGGCCTGAGAGCCCCTGGAAAACAACTGGAGTAAGTCCAAGAGTCCAAAAGCCAAAGAACCTGGAGTCTGACATTTGAGTGCAGGAAGCATCCAGCATGGGAGAAAGATGAGGGCAGAAGGCTCAGCAAGTCAGCTTCTACTAACCTCCTTCTGCCTGCTTTATTCTAGCCATGCTGGCAGCTGATTGTATGGTGCCCACCCACATTGAGGGTGGATCTGCCTTTCCCAGTCCACTAAATAAATGTTAATCTCCTTTGACAACACCCTCACAGAAACAACCGGGAACAATACTTTGGATCCTTCAATCCAATCAAGTTGACACCTTACTGAATATTAACCTTCACAATGTAATATTCATCCCATTTGTAATTTTTCTTTAATATACAAGCTCCTTGAGAACATGCACCATTTGATCTTGTCTCTCTGTTGTGTTGGGAGGCAGTGGAGAAGAGAAGAGTTAAATGTGTGGGTATGGAGTGAAAGACTGTCAGATTTGCATCTCGGCTCCCCTACTTATTGGATCTCTGTCCTGGAGAAAATTACTTAACATCTTTCTCAGTTTCCTTACCTGTAAATGAGTGGTGACATATATGGAACTTAGAACAAGAGCCAAGTAAGTATTCAATAAAAGCTAATGTTGTTGCCTACTGTTTATTCTCAGTGTTTGGCATAGTAGCCGGCAAAAGGAAGAGGAATTTTTTTTTTTCTTTTTTTCAGACAGTCTCCCTCTGTCACCCAGGCTGGAGTGCAGTGGTGTGATCTTGGCTCACTGCAACCTCTGCTTCTTGGGTTCAAGTGATTCTTGTGCCTCAGCCCCCTGAGTAGCTGGGATTACAGGCCTGTGCCACCACACCCAGCTAACGTTTTGTATTTTTAGTAGAGATGGAGCTTTGCTATGTTGGCCAGGCTGGTCTTGAACTCATGTCCTCAAGTGATCCCCCCGCTTTGGCCTCCCAAAGTGTTGGGATTATAGGCGTGAGCCATTGGGCCCAGCCTGGAAATATTTTTTTGAAACATGACTGATAAGAATATTTTTTGAAAGAATGACAGATACCAATCATGAAGGAAAAGATTTTCACAATTGACAATAAAAAACTTTAACTTCTGAATGGTAAAAAGAGTGAGAAAATTAAAAGCCAAATTACAAATTGAAAAAACTAAAGTATATAAAACAAAGGTTTTCATTCTCAATTTAATGCAGAATCTTGACAAATCAAAAAGAACAAAAGGTGAACCCACCTAAAAGAAATAGGCAAAAAACTTTCAAGAAAAGCAATTTACAAAATGCCAATGACTAATAAACATGGATATTTAACAACACTAGTATTCAAAGTACTTCATTTATAGAGATCCCTCCTTCACCTATCAAATTAGCAAAGATGAAAAAGGCTAGTAATACCAAGTTTTGAAGAGAGGTGAGAGGAAATGACAAGTTTATGTACCCTGGTAGGACATGATATTGTGGCAATATGTTTCAGAACACTCATAAATGTATATACCTTTTAGATCAACAATTACACTTTTAAGCTTAAGAAAATATGAAGATTAGGTACAAATATTTCCCTATATGTTCTACTAAGTATTATTTTTTTAATTAAAAAAATTTTTTTGAGACAGAGTCTCGCTCTGTTGCCCAGGCTGGATAGCTCACTACAGCCTCCGCCTCCTGGGTTCAAGTTATTCTTCTGCTTCAGCCTCCTGAGTAGCTGGGATTACAGATGCCCACCACCATGCCCGGCTAAGTTTTGTATTTTTAGTGGAGACGGGGTTTCACCATGTTCGTTGGCCAGGCTGGTCTTGAACTCCTGACCTCAAGTGATCCACCCTTCTTGGCCTCCCAAAGTGCTGGGATTATAGGTGTGAGCCACCATGCCCGGCCAATTTTTTAATTTAAAAATATATTTTTATAGCAGCACAACTAAGTATTATTTTAATAGTAAATATTGGAGTTAACTTTAATTTTGAACAGGATAAGTAATCATGATGCAGCGCATTGAATACTCTTTCATTAAGCTAAACAACTATTAAAAATGATATACAAATACATTTACTGAAAAGAAACATGTTTGTGATATACAGTTAAGTGTAAAACAATTCAGGTTATAAGAACATATTAGGCCGGGTGCGATGGCTCACGCCTGTAATCCCAGCACTTTGGGAGGCCGAGGCAGGCGGATCACGAGGTCAGGAGATCAAGACCTTCCTGGCTAACACGGTGAAACGCTGGCTCTACTAAAAATACAAAAAAAAATTAGCCAGGCGCGGTGGCGGGCGCCTGTAGTCCCAACTACTTGGGAGGTTGAGGCAGGAGAATGGCATGAACCCGGGAGGCAGAGCATGCAGTGAGCCGAGATTGTGCCACTGCACTCCAACCTGGGTGACAGAGCAAGACTCCGCCTCAAAAAAAAAAAAAAATAAAAGAACATATTGGTCAATATTCACTGATTTTTATAAGAATATTTGACAGAGAGAGAGGGGTAAGGGAAGGGAAGGGGGAGGAGAGGGGAAGGGAAGGGAAGGGAAGAAGGGAAAAAGGGAAGGGAAGGGAATATGGGTGGATTTATATCAAAAGGTTCAGAAGGAAATGATTCTTTTCTTCTGGATGTGACTATTGCAGATTTTATTTTTAACTTTTCCTCTTTTTCTGATTTATTTATATTTTCTTATTTTAAGAGAAACTATAAAAGTATATATATTACTTTTCAACTTAAAAATAGTTTAGCATTTCAATAATACAGAAGACTCAAACATTGCAGATAATTAAAGCATTATTAAATGTGGAAATGTTTAGTTTCACAATTTCTGTAGTGATATTCAAGACCAGATATCACCTTGGGAATCAGAACTGGTGCAGGATCTTGTCCTAACACTACCAAAAAGGCATATGGCTGTCCCAGCTCTGTATGTTTATGTTGTCTTATAATAGAGCAACCAGTTGTTTATTAGGATGGCCAAAAAGGCACATTTCAAAAATGCCTATTAAAATATTAGTAGTACAAATAATATTGCTGTTTAATTTTTTCCAATGAGAACTGATAAAATTCAAAAGCAACAGAAGCAGTTAAATAGTAATAATATGGTTTATCAAATTAATTGTCACATGATTATTAAAGTGAGATCATGTGTGTTAAGTAGTTGTATCTTAAGCCACTGAAATATCTTCCTTGGTCTGGAATGAGCTTTCTATGGAGATTAAAAAGATGTTAAATTGAACAGTCTTGGTTAATACATGAAGAAGCAAAGCCAGAAACCCTGTTTAAAGAACTCACAAAAAAGGTCATGAATGATCTGGTGGTTGTTATATTTTCTTGTTTACCCGAGGAGAAGACTATGCTCAAGCATGTATTGAATCCAGTGATAGCCAGAATGTCATCCATACTGCTAGCAGCCATTAGTAATGTTGGAATGTCTTCCTCAACACCATATCCATTTTCTTGCAACACCATCGTGTAAAGGACAACAACAACAGGAGAGACAGCACCTAAAACAAAACTGAAAGAAAGAATGAAAATTAATTTAAAAGCATCTTTTTAATCAAGTAGTGTTTTATAAGTACAAGTAGTTTATAATAAATTTGTAACAAACATTGTTTAGAAGAATTTCAAATTTGAGTGAATGCAATTTAATGGTGATAAAACTTTTCATGCATTGTTTACTGCTAGCTAAAATTTTATACAGACGTGGTTTAAAATGTTGGGCTGAGCACAGGTTGCAGCCTCTCCCTCTATTCCTAAATCCTTTGAAATGAAGATGTAAAGTTAATAGAAAAATTCATAACCTAACAAGAAAGCAAAAGGTGAATCATCAATGGACAAGAAACTAAGCATATGCCAGAAAGATAAGAGACAGACAATTTAGGATTGAAAAAAGGAAACCATAAACAAAAATGTGTGTAAATAAGATTGCCTCAAAAGATACATGTGCTTCTAAAAGTGGTCCAAGCCCTGAAATGACAGACGCTGGGAGCAGGAGAGACCTCTGGGGAAACCAAATAGTTGATTATTTGGATTACCACTGTAAGAATGATCAGACAAATCTACCTTCCACACATTTCCTACCTCTTGAGTAAATAAGTAAGTAAGGAAGGAAGGAACAGAGTTGTCTGCCCAAAAAAAACAAGTGTGGCCACCTAAGTTACAAAGGCAAATGAGAACATTTCTGGAGTGGTTGATGACACCCATGAGGAATGGGGAGGCTCCTGCTCAGAATACCTTCTATTGGCATATCTTATCCAGAATTTCACCTCATCTCTTCTACATTTACTTTATAAAGCGTGAAGTATATCCTGTGTAGAAATGCTTTTGGTGCTCCTGCCAGAATCCATTTACCAGGTCAATGAACACATCTCCCAGTGCTGCTTGTTGGCTGCTAATATCTGCAGGTTTCTAGAACCCTTGTCCTGCTGACAAGCACCTACCTGGGAATACTAGGGAGGTTGTGCACCCCTCTACTTTCCCTCCAGACAGATCTGCCAATGACGGACTGATGTGAGATTTGCTTCTGGCTGTACAACTCTATGGTGCAGTTTATGCTACAGATTTCCCTGTGGGCTCAAGAAGAGACTAGACTTCTCTAAGACCACATACTGGTCTAGTTTAGTGGTTCCTGAACTCTGCTGCACATTGTAATCACCTGTTGTATTATTTTTCTCATTTTGCTTAACAAGTCATCCCCAAACATAGCAGCTTAAAACAACAAATATTTATTGTCTTATGACTTCTGTGGGTCAGGAATCTGGGCATGGCTTAGCTGTATGCCTCGACTTAAGATTTCCCATGAGGTAGGGTGGGGTGGAGAAGATCTGCTTCCAAGTTTACTCATGTAGCCATTGCAGGCTTCAGTTTTTTTCCAACGGGGTTTTCTCCACAGGGCTGCCTCAGGACATGGCAGCTGGCTTCCCCAGGAATAAGTGATCAAAGAGAATTTAATCCACAACATCAATTAAAAAAACAAAGTATCTAAGAACAAAACTGTGAAGACAGTCTATACTTTTATAAAAATTGTGAATCTAATAATATAGTAATTAAGATAATACCTGAATACTTAGAGAGACATTTCACAAGTGTGAACTAAAAAGCCCCAATTTTACCATCACCCAACACCACGCCTGGCTAGTTTTCGTGTTTTTAGTAGATACGGTGTTTCACCATTTTGGCCAGGCTGGTCTTGAACTCCTGACCTCAAGTGATATGCCTGCCTTGGCCTCCCAAAGTGCTGGGATTATAGGTGTGAGCCACCACGCCCGGCCAAAGCCTCAATAATAGAAAGATGTAATCTCTCCCCCAAATGAATTAATCAGAGATACGCCAATCAAAATCTTTGCAGGGATTTTTACTGAGCTTGACAAGCTGATTATAAAATTCATTTGGAAGAATAAGATCTTAGAATGAAAGATCAAGTAAACTTAAGAAAACAAGATACTGTTTTTGTAAAGGTAAAATAGTTAAAACTGAATAATAGTGACATATAAATAGACAAAATAAATTGGAAGAAAAGAGAATACAAAGTGTGGAAACAAATCTATGGGATTTGTTACATCATACAACTGGTATTTTAAATCAGTGGGAGAAAGAAAGAAATCTTTCACAAATGGTGTTGAGATAACTATTTATGTGGAAAGGAATATAGATAGATTCTTACACATAATAAATGTTAAAAGCTCAAAAGGAAAAGTAGTAATAAGAAAATGTAGTGGGCTAGGCATGATGGCTCACACCTGTAATCCCAGCACTTTGGGAGGCTGAGGTGGACAGATCAGGAATCTGAGACCAGCCTGGCCAACATGGCGAAACCAATAGCTGGGTGCAGTGGTGCATTCCTGTAGTCCCAGCTACTTGGGAGGTTGAGGCAGGAGAATCACTTGAACCTGGGAGGTGGAGGTTGCAGTGAGCTGAGATCATGCCACTGCACTACAGCCTGGGTGACAGCAAGACTCTGAACAACAAAATAAAGATGTAGAATAATATATTTGTGATCATGAGGTAAAAAGGACTTTTTGAATGATACATACAAAGGCATTAGACATAAAAAGAGATTTTGATACATTCAATTATATTAAAGTAGCACTTCAAAAGTAACTTCAAAAGTACTATAATAAAGTACTACTTCAAAAGCAATTCTGCTCTTTCTTCCTCTTTTTCTCTTTTTCATTTTCAAAGTCAAGTGAACAGTGTTGTGTATTGGCAATTCTGTCTGTTGAAAATAACAAAATACACTTCTTAGAGTGAAAAAAAATCATCACAAACAAAATTAAATATCTACTGATATTTGCAATACATATAATTTACAAATGCATATAACAGATATAATTAATAAAGAAGACCAACTCAACAAAAAAATGGACAAAGGATATGAACAGGCTAGTTACAGATAAGGAAAAGCTGAAGGACAACACATATATAAAAGATATTCAAGCTTGTGAATAATCACAGAAATGCAAATTAAAATAACAAAAATATGCCATTTTTTCAATTATCAGACTGGAAAACATTATAAAATTTAATAATATCAAGGATTTGCAAGGATTTTCAAGAACAACAGGTAGGCTCATAAGCTGTTGGTATTAGGGCAAATTAAAGTGGCCATACCGAAAGGATTTTGGCAGTATACATCAAACTAAAAATGCATGTAACCCAGGTAACTATTCTAGACAAACTTATATTTATGTAAAATGAGACAAATAAAATGTTATTTTTGTTATAACGTTGTAAATAAAATCTGCTGTTGACATACAATGTAATCTTATACAATTAAAAGGAATTAACTACATGTGTATCTATCTTGAGATGGATAAACCTCAAGACTATTGTTGAGTGAAAAGAACAAATTGTAAAGTAAAATTTTCTTGGGTATGATTAAGTAAAAATGCACAAAATAATACTCTTTTTTTCTCTGGGTTCACAAATACATTTGTTAGAAGTCCAAAATATTATTTTTAAAGATCTAGAATGATAACATAAAACTCATGAAGATGCTGCCACTCTGTCTCCAGCAGCACATGAGTGCACCCCACAGCACCATTGCCCCGGCTGGCACGTGCAAGTATGCAGAACACCCCCATCCCACTCCTGCTGGCACTGCACCCCTGCCAACACATGCATACCTGCTGTGTGCTGCTGCTGCTGGCACATATGTGTGAGTGGGGACCTTGTTACAATCACTACAATGAAGCACTTTGGCTGGCACACCCCATCAGAGTGTTGTTGCCAGTGAACTGGGAACACCTCAGTGCTTAACATTGAAGGGCCAGACAACAAATCTGTAGGTATGGTACCAGCCTTGCAAAGTTAGAAAGTGCAGTTCAGGAGTGCTGAGCTGAGCCTTTGCCCCCTGAAATCTTCCAGAAATGAAGCCATTTGACTGAAACTACCTTGTGCCACAGTCAAACCCTCAAGGGCATTAAAGAATATAAAAAAGGAAAAAACTCCATCCAAAGGACAGTGATTCAAAACATTAAAGGAACCTTAGCCCACACAGATGTGAAAGAACTAGTGCAAGAACTCTGGCAATGTAAAAAGCCAGAATGTCTTCCTGTCTTCAAGCAATCATACTAACTCTCCAACAATGGTTGTTAAGCAAGATTAAATGACAGACATAGAATTCAGAATCTGGATAGAAACAAAGATCATTGAGATTCAGAAGAAAGTCAAAATCCAATCCTAATAATTTAAGGAATCCAATAAGATGACATAAGAGCTGAAAGATGAAATAGGCATTTTAAGAAAGAACCAAACGAAACTGATAGAGCTGAAAAATGCACCTCAAGAATTTCATAATACAATAACAAGTACTAACAGCAGAACGGACCAAGCTGAGGAAAGAATCTCAGATCTCAAAGACCACTTCTTTGAATCAACTCAGTCAGATGAAAATAAAGAATAAAAAAGAATGAACAAAACCTCTGAGAAATCTGAGATTATGTAAAGAGACCAAACATATGACTCAGGGCATCACTCAAAGAAAGGGAGAAAGAACAAGCAAGTTGGAAAACATATTTGAGGATACTGCCCACAAAAATTTCCCAAATCTTGCTAGAGAAGTCACCATTTAAATCCAGGAAATGCAGAGAATCCTGTGAGATACTATACAAGATGACCATCCCCAAGACAGACAGTCATCAGATTCTCCAAGGTCAACATGAAATAAAAAAATATGAAAGGCAGCTAAAGTGAAGGGGCAGGTCACATACAAAGAGAATCCCATCAGGCTAACAGTGGAACTATAAGATACTCTACAATCCAAAAGAAACCGGGGGCCTATATTCAACATTCTTTTTTTTTTTCGAGATGGAGTCTCACTCTGTTGCCCAGGCTGGAGTGCACTGGTGATATCTTGGCTCACTGCAACCTCCACTTCCCGGGTTCAAGCAATTCTTCTCCCTCAGCCTCCCAAGTAGCTGGGACTACAGGTGTGCACCACAACACCCGGCAATTTTTTATAATTTTAATAGAGACAGGATTTCACCATATTGGCCAGGGTGATCTCAAATTCCTGACCTCGTGATCTGCCCACCTTGGCCTCTCAAAGTGCTGGGATTACAGGTGTGAGCCAACACGCCCGGCCTTCAGCATTCTTTAAAAAAAAAAATACTTGGCCAGGTGTGGTGGCTCATGCCTGTAATCCCAGCACTTTGGGAGGCTGAGGGGGGCAGAACACAAGGTCAAGAGATCAAGACCATCCTGGCCAACATGGTGAAACCTCATCTGTAATAAAAATACAAAAATTAGCTGGGCATGGTGGTGCGTGTCTGTAGTCCCAGCTACTCGGGAGGCTGAGGCAAGAGAATCACTTAACCCAGGAGGTGGAGGTTGCAGTGAGCCAAGATAGCACCACTGCACTCCAGCCTGGGGACAGAGCAAGACTCTGTCACAAAAAAAAAAAAAAAAAAAAAAAAAAAAAAAATTCAACCAAGAACTTAATATCCAGCCAAACTAAACTTCATATGTGAAGGAGAAGTAAGATCCTTTTCAGACAAACAAATGCTAACCGAATCTGTTACCACCAGACATGCCTTACAAGAGGTCCTTAAGGGAGTGCTAAGCGTGGAAGTGAAAGACTGTTAATGGCCACCACAAAAATACATTTAAGTACATAGACCATTGACGTGTAAAGTAACTACACAATCAAGTCTGCATAATAACCAGCTAACAACATAATGGCAGGACCAAAGCTATAAATGCCAATATTAACTGTGAATGTAAACAGTATAAATGCCCCGCTTAAAACTCACAGAATGGCAAGTTGGATAAAGAAGCAAAGCCCAACTGTATCTGTTGTCAAGAGACCCAGCTCATATACAACAATACCCATTGGCTTGAAGTAAAAGGATGGAAAAAAATCTACCAAGCAAATGCAAAACACAAAAGGGTAAGCATTGTTATTCTAATTCAGACAAAATAGACTTTAAACCAACAACAATCAAAAACACAAAGAAGGGCACTAAGTAATGATAAAGGGTTCAATTCAACAAGAAGAGTTAACTGTCTGATAGATAAATGTGCTCAAAACTGGAGCATTCACATTCATAAAACAAGTTCATAGAGACCTATAGAGAGACTTAGATAACCACAGAATAATAGTGGGAGACTTCAACATCTCACTGATGGTACTAGACAGATCATAGAGACAGAAAATGAACAAAGATATTCAAGACTTGAAGTCAACACTTGGCTAAATGGACCTAACAGCCATCTACAGAACACTCCACCCAACAACAACAGAATATATCTTCCTCTCATCTGTACATGGCATATATTGTAAAATCGATCACACTATCAGTCTAAAATTATTTTCAATAAATTAAAAGAAACCCCAGAAATCATGCCAACCACACTCTTGGACTGCTCAGTGTAACAAAAATAGAAGTCAACACTAAGAAGAACTCTCAAAACCATACAATTACATGGAAATTAAGCAACCTGTGCCTGAATGACTTTTGGGTAAACAATGAAATTAAGGCAGAAACCAATAAATTCTTTGAAACTAATTAAAACAAAGATACAACATTCCAGGCTCTCTAAGACACAGGCAAAGCAGTGTTAAGTGAAAAATTTATCGTGCTAAAGGCCCATATTGAAAAGTTAGAAAGATCTTAAATTAACAACCTAATATCATACCTAAAGGAAATAGAAAAACAAGAGTAAACAAACCCAAAGCTAGCAGAAGAAAATAAATAACCAAAATCAGGGCAGAATGGAATGAAATTGAGTCAATTTTGTTATACCAGTTTAATATAAATATTGCCTTTAAAAGATAATATAGTTTGCAGGTGTCTACAGTGATTTTGTAATATTTGTGTACATATAAAATAATATTTCCAAAAATGTAATCCAGTGGGGAAATATACTTTCTAAATTCTAGATTTATAATTTAGGGTTTAAATTATAAAATCATTAAATAAGACACAAGTGAAATATAGTCAAATATCCCCTTGGAAAAAAATTAAGTGGCCTCTAAAGTGAGGTATTCATATATGTAATTTTACAATCCTCTAGTGATAGAATTAATTAAATATGCCACCAAATTGATTAATTCCTACAGTGTTAAAAGAGAAGTCCTAACAATGCCAGTGACCATGTAACATGGATTTAAGCTACAAGTCATAGAAATGTGATGAGAAGCCTCAGCGCTGTAAAACAGAGGGTGGAGGAAAGCTTTTCCTCTCTCAAATGAGCTTTGCGAGGTATACTTCGTGAAGGATAGGAAGTTGAAGTGTTCAGGACTTTTATGTCTATTCTATTTTGGTTTAGTTTACATGATTCTTAGTTTATTAGCCTAGAAATGGCAGCGGCGGCGGGGGGGGGGGGGGGCAAAAACCCGGGGCGGCGGGGGTGCAAAAAGCCGCGGTGGGCAAAAAGTCGCGGCGGCGGGGGGGGTGGTGCAAAAAGTCGCGACAGCGAGGGGCGAAAAGCCGCGGCGGGTAAAAAGCCGCGGAGGCAAAAAGCCGCGGCGGCGGGGGGGCAAAAAGCCGCGGCGGCGGGGGGGCAAAAAGCCGCGGCGGCGGGGGGGCAAAAAGCCGCGGCGGGCAAAAAGTCGCGGCAGCGGGGGCGGGGGGGCAAAAAGCCGTGGCAGCGAGGGGCAAAAAGCCGCGGCAGTCGGGGGCAAAAAGCCGCGGCAGGCAAATAACCGCGGCACCGGGGGGTGGGGGCAAAAAGCCGCGGCGTCAAAAAGCCGCGGCGGCGCACGGCAAAAAGCCGCGGTGGCAGGGGGGCAACAAGCCGCGACCGGCAAAAAGCCGCGGCGGCGGGGGACAAAAAGCCGCGGCGATGGGGGGCAAAAAGCCGCGGTGGCAGGGGGGCAACAAGCCGCGACCGGCAAAAAGCCGCAACGTCGGGGGGCAAAAAGCCGCGGCAGTGGGGGTGCAAAAAGCCGCGGCGGGCAAAAAGTCGCGGCGGCGCGGGGCAAAAAACCGCAGTGGGGAAAAAGCCGCGGCGGCCGGGGGGTCAAAAAGCCTCGGCGGGGGGGAGGGGGGGGGCAAAAAGCCGCGGCGGGCAAAAAGTCGCGGCGGCGGGGGGGCAAAAGCCGGGGCGGGCAAAAAGCCGCCAGCCTGGGTGACAGAGACTGTCTCAAAAAAAAAAAAAGATTTAGGAGAAACAAGTCCTGAAGCCCTGACCCTAACACGCAAGGGTTAGTGGAGATGTGGGACTTGAACTCAGCTTCTCCGTTGAGTCTGGCTGTCTCCCGGACGCAGGCACGTGCTTGCACACCTCCACGTGGCGATCCCGCCCCCTTAGTAGCGTCCTTAGCTCGGCACTTCTTGCGGGGAAGTTCCTCTTGGCCCAGACCCTCGTCCTAGGCCCCGCGTCATGGGGGAAGCGAAAGGGGCAGCGTGGGGAAGTGGCTGAGGGGTCGGGTCCGGGGTGGTCTGCAGAGAGGCAGGCGACGGTGCGGAGCCGGGAACCACGGGCTCACCCGTCGAGTCGGACGGGCCCCGCGGGGGTGGGCGAGACACTGGGAACAGCGGTCAGCTCCAGAGGGCGCGAGGCGGGGCGCGCGGGGAGGGGGGGCGCGCGGGGAGCGGGTGCGCGCGCGGTTGGGGGGCAGTGAGGGTCGCCGCGGCGGCGCGCAGCACGGCTGGAACATGGCGAGCGGAACTGGCGCGCGCGCCTAGCTGGCGGGACCTTTAACTCGAGGCGGACGCCGCCCGGACCCCGTGGATATGGAGCAGTCGCCGCCGCCGGCGCCCGAGCCGACCCAAGGGCCCCCGCAAGGAGCTGAAGGCGGCTGGAGCCCGAATCGCCGCCGGCGTCGGCGCAGGTGAGTGCGTGAGGGGCTCGGGCCAGGAGACTTTGTTTGTGAGACTCCGGCGGTGGGAGCTGGGCCGGGCCTCAGCGGCTGAGGAGCGCCTGTGAGGCGGAAGGTCCGGCTTCAATCCCAGCCGCGAGCCGTCAGGCGGCGGGACCTGGTCCGCCGCCTGCCTGCCTCAGTTTCCACGGGAGTGTGTGTGGGTGTGTGAGGGTGTGTATGGGTGCTGGCCTGCGCACTCCGGAGGGGGGGGTCGGTATACAGTTGGCGCCTAATGCGCGGGGCGCCTCCCCCCTCCCCCCAGTCCCCGTGGGGCGGAACCTGGGGACTGGAGTCCCCTGGAGCAGTAGGTGGCACCCGCGGGGAGACAGGTGTCCAGGTGTCGGCGCAGCCCGGGAGGCTCAGGTGCTACCTTTCCCGGGGGGGGGGGGGGGGGGGGGGGGTTTGTGAGGAGTGAGCTCTTCGTTCCCGGAGGCGAGCAAGTCTGTCAGTGGCTCATCATAGAGCGCTGTTTTGGAAAGCGTTCCACCCACCTCAGCTTCGTGCTGTGTTTGGGCCACTAGTCAGGGGGAAGGATGCTGAGCGACATGGACTTTAGAGGTGGGGCTCCCGCTGGACGGGATGGCTCTGGGCTCTCCAGCTTACCCCCACCCTTGCCTCCCAAACCCGTTAGAGCGTAGGAATCACTGGGAGCACCTGATAAAAATGCCACGGATTGTGGCTCACCAAAGCAGGGAAGCCGATTTGGAACTTAAACAAGCTCCCAAGTTGGATCAGTCGAGCTTGGCAAGCACTGTTTTAGAGAGTAGGCTTCCTACAAGCAGGAGCCGGTTTTGTGTATACCTCACCATGGCATCTTGGTACGTGGCATGGTGCCTGGCACACGGTAGATGATCAGAAAATATCTGTAGAAAGTCTAAATTATTAGGGAGAGTGCAGCATAGGAGTTCTTGAGACATTTTCAGGAGCTTCTTGAGATTAATATCTGTCAGATTTGTTTTACAGTATATGATTTTTCTCAGCTCCCAACTTTTGTGATTGTTTTTAATGCCATGTTTTCAGTATGTTCTAGGCAAAAGCAGGGTACATGTTGCTTAGTATATACTATCCAATAGGCGGGGTGCGGTGGCTCACTCCTGTAATCTCAGCACTTTGGGAGGCAGATTGCTTGATCCCAGGGGCTTGAGGCTGTAGTGAGCCAAGGAATTAAAGGCCAGTGTGGGAAACATAGTGAGGCTCGTCTCCGCAAAAATTAGCTGGGTGTGGTAGCATGCACTTGCAGTCTCAGCTACTCTGGAGGCTGAGGTGGGAGGATCACTTGAGCTCAGGAAGTACAAGTTGCAGTGAGCCAAGGTTGTGCCACTGCATTCCAGCCTGGATAACACAGAGAAACCCAGTCTCTTAAATAAGTAAATACATAAATGATTATGTATACTCCAGCTAGGTTAAAATTAATTCTGAATCAAAATTATTAATTAAAATATTCATGTTTCTTTCTCTTCATCATTTGAGAACACTAGGCTTTTAGGATTTCATTCCGTTGGGGCAGGTAAATATCTACATTTTTGACAAAGCAAATATGAATTACTGTTAATTCAAGAAAGGTGGGAATTTGCTTAAACCTGAGTATTTGTAGTCTTTGTGATTTTTTTAAATTTTAAATTTAAATTTTCTTTTTTTTTGTTTTTTTTTTGAGATGGAGTCTCACTCTGTCGTCCAGGCTGGAGTGCAGTAGCACAATCTCAGGTCACTACAACCTCCACCTCCCGAATTCAAGCGATTCCCCTGCCTCAGCCTCTGGTGTAGCTGGCATTACAAGTGTGTGCCACCATGCGCAGCTAATTTATGTATTTTTAGTAGAGAGGAGGTTTCACTGTGTTGCCCAGGCTGGTCCCAAACTCCTTGACCTCAAGCGATCTGCCCACCTTGGCCTCCCAAAGTGCTGGGATTACAGGTGTGAGCCACGGCACCTGGCCTTATTTTTATTTTTTTGAGACAGAGTCTCAGTCTGTCGCCCAGGTTGGAGTGCTGTGGCATGATCTCCGCTCACTGCAACCTCCACCTCCCAGATTCCAGCGATTCTAATGCCTCAGCCTCCTGAGTAGCTGGGGTTAATAGACCCAGCTAATTTTTGTTGTATTTTTTTAGTAGAGACTGGGTTTCCCTATGTTGGCCAGGCTGCTCTGGAACTCCTGGCCTCTAGTGATCCACCTGCCTCATCCTCCCAAAGTGCTGGACTTACAGGCATGAGCCACTGCCCCCAGCCAATCTTTGTGATATTTTGAAATTGAGGTTTATATTTTGTTCAGAGTCAAAGCTAAAATAGAATTGTTTGAAAATTAATATTTCAGGAACTATTTTTTAATTAACTTGAATTTTATTTTATTAGTTTCATTTCAGTAGGGTTTTAACTTAAAAATATTTACATATATATATATATATATATATATATATATATATTTTTTTTTTTTTTTTTTTTTTTTTTTTCCTGAGACGGAGTCTTGCTCTGTCACCCAGGCTGGAGTGCAATGGCATGATCTTGGCCTCACTGCAGCCTCCACCCTCCCGGCTCAAGCAATTCTCCTGCCTTAGCCTCCCAAGTAGCTGGGACTACAGGTGCCCACCACCACACCTGGCTAATTTTTATATTTTTAGTAGAGATGGGGTTTCACCATGTTGTCCAGGCTGGTTTTGAACTCCTGATCTCAAATGATCTGCCCTCCTTGGCCTCCCAAAGTGCTGGGATTACAGGCATGAGCCACCATGCCTGGCCTGAAAAATATTTTTAAAGACAGGATCTAGCTATGTTGCCTCAGCTGGTCTTGAACTCCCAGTCTTGGCCTCAAGTGATCCTTCTGTCTCAGCCTTCTGAGTAGCTGGAAGCACAGCTGTGAGCCAGCACACCTGGCTTTTTTAAATTTCTAATAAAAAAGTTAATAGAGTTTCTTGTTTCACTGGACAAAATATGCATATATAGGAAGGAAAGACTTTTGGACTTGAGATTGCGCTGAAGAAGAAAAATGGAAAAATTAAGCATTTTAGTCTCTCAGTGTGTTATATTTGTAGCTTATACAGATGTCTTTTTTAAGTGTCTTTAAAAAGCTTTATTGAGATAAAGATAAATGAGATAAATTCACCTACCATGAAATCAACCCCTTGAGTGCAGAATTTTGTGGTTTATAATATGTTCACAGAATCGCACAAACAAGACAGGTATCTAGATACTTTCAGACCATTTTCATCAGTCCACAAGAAATCCCATACCCATTAGCAGTCATCCTTATTCCCTTTTCCCCTAGTCCCTGGCAATAACTAGCCTACTTTCTGTCTCTGAGTTTAGCTCTTCTGGAGGCTTCACAGAATGAAATCTTACTACATGTGGTCTTTTGTGATTGACTTACTTCACTTGGCACAGTGTTTTCAAGGTTTATCCATGCTGTAGCATATATCAGCACTTCATTCTTTTTTAATGCTGAGTAATCTTTTGAATGGATATACCATATTTTATCAGTTCCTCTGTTGATAGGCACTTGAGTTTTTTTTCCAATTTTTGGCTATTATGCACAATGCTGCTGTGAACATTTGTGTACAAATTTTAGTGTGGATGTATATTTTCATTTCCCTTGGGTATATCCCTAAGGAATACACTATCTGGGTCATATAATTGTTTAAGACTACAGGCACGTGCCGCCACACCTGGCAAATATTTAAAAATTTTTTGTAGATAAAGGGTCTTGTTATATTGCCCAGGCTGATCTTGAACTCCTGGCCTCAAGAGATCCTCTCACCTCAGCCTCCCAGAAAGTGTTGGGATTACAGATGTGAGTCACTGTACCTATAAAAGAGGCTCATACCTCTTTTTACGTTTTTTGTTTTTTTTTTTTTTTTTGAGACAGGGTTTCATTCTGTTGCCCAGGCTGGAGTGCAGTGGTGGGATCACAGCTCACTGCAGCCTGGACCTCTCTCCATATGATTCTAGCTGTGGGTGTCTTTCCTGTAGTTTTTACTATGTTGCAGTATGTTTCTTCTGTACCCGTTTCTTTGAGGATTAATAGCATGAAGGGATGTTGAATTTCATCAAATGCTTTTTCAGTTTCAGTTGACATTTATTCGGTTTATATGATGTATCACATTGTATGTTGAGTGACCCTTGCATCCCAGGGATACATCCCACTTGATCATGATGAATTATCTTTTTAATGTATTACTGAATTTGATTCACTTGTATTTTGTTGAGGATTTTTGCATCAATATTAGAGATACTGGCCTGTAGTTTCCTTCTTTGATGCCTTTGTCTGATTTTGGTATCACAGTAATAATGGTCTCATAGAATAAGTTTGGAAGTATCCCCTCCTGTTTTTCAAAATAGTTTGAGTAGGATTTGTACTAGGTCTTTAAATTGTTTGGTGTGAAGCCATCAGCAGTGAAGACATCAGTTCCTGGGCTTTTCTTTACTGGGAGACTTTTTCTGATGGCTTCAATCTCATTACTTTTTACCGATCTGTTCTGGTCTTGGATGTTTTCATTGTTCAACCTAAGTAGGTTGTATGCATCTAGGAATTTGCCAATTTCTACTAGGCTTTCCAATTTATTGGCATATAATAGCCAGTTATGATCCTTTGAATTTCTGAAGTATTAGTTGTAATGTCTCCTTTTTTTAATCTGTTGATTTTATTTATTTGAATCTTGTCTCTTTTTTCTTAGTTAGCCTGGTTAAAAGTTTGTCAATTTTGTTTTGCTTTCCAGAAAACCAACTTTTCATTTAATCTTGTGTGTTTTTTCTTTCAATTTTATTTCTGCTACGATCTTGTTTATTTTCTTATTTTCGGTTTAGTTTGTTCTTACTTTACTAGTTCTTTAAGATGTATTGTTTATTTGAAGTTTTTCTTTTGTTTGGATGGTAGGCACTTATAGCTGTAAATCTCTGCCTCTGTACTGCTTTCTGCGTAACAAGTTTTGGTATACTGTGTTTTCGTTACCCTTTGTTTCATGAAATTTTTGAATTTCTGTCTTAGTATCTTCATTTACCCGCTAGTCATTTATTCAGGAGGGTAGTGTTTAACTTCCATGTGATTGTATTGTTTCCAAAATTACTCTTCTTATTGATACCTAGTTTTATTCTTTTGTAGTCAAAGAAGATGGCCACAGAGACAGCAGCGTGGTCAGAGTGGTAGGAGCCAGCCATCGGCGAGAGCTGCTCCGTGCCTGGCTGCTGGGTGCTAGAGCCTGTGGCCCACTGGCTTGCCTCACTGTGATTGGTGGTGGTGGTGACAGAGACTGCAGCACGACCAGAGTGGTATGACAGGGGGTATCCAGGGCTGCACCTTTCACAGTGTGGGGTGGGTTGGGGGCGCTATCCAGGTTGTCATTGCCTGCATTAGGGCTACTGGTTGGTAGCACTGTACAGGGCTGCACTGCCCATGGCAGGGAGGGTGGGTTATGGGCACTTTCTGGGGCTGCAATGCCCATGGAGGAGGACAGGTTAGGGCACTATCGGGTATACGCTACTGGAGGCATTGGGGGATGGAGGTGGGGGGCGCTATTGAGGGCAGGACTAGCTGTGGAGGGCGGGCAAGTTCGGTGCTATCAGGGGCTGCACTGCTGGCGGCGGTCAGCAGAGTTGGCATCCAAGGAAGGAGTGGTTCTCCTCTCCCTGACTCCACACTCCAGAGGGCGACCCACTCTTGGTCCTACTGGAGTGCGGCAGGCACGCAGCGTTTGTGTGGGAATCCTGAGCATGGCAGAGCCCCCACACCTACCGTGGTTCCTAGGCCTGTGCACTCTGGGTCTGTGCCTCAGAGGCTGCCAGGCACCCCTGGGGACACCACGGGGGACAGGGCCCTGTGTGTGGAGGCGTCCGGAACAGGAATTGGCACCTGGGTGCAGAGGGCTGGCTGGGTCTGAATTTTTCTGCTTCTCCTGTTCCCCAAGGAGTGCAGCCCTGGTGGGCCCAATGGTTCCTGTGGAGTGGGGAGCTGGGTGCTGTGGTGTCTCCAGCACCCACCCCAGACCCCAGTTCCCAGCCAGCTTGGGCCAAAAGGAGAGGCTGGACTTTGGAGGGTGGGTGTGAGGGCCTTTGCTGAAACTGGCCCCTGCCACCCAGTGGCCAGCACGACAAGTTGAGGCTCTAACCCTTCCACCCCTTACATCTTCCTCTAGGCTTTTCTGGCTTTGCCCGCCCAGCTGCTCCGTGCCAGGAGGAGAAGGAGACACCTAGAGCCTGTGACACCATGACTTGCCTCGCTGCGGGTGGGTGGCAGCAATGGAGACTGCAGTGCGCCAGAGCGGTAGGAGAGCGGCCGCGCTAGGAGGGCAGGCGGCTGCAGCCAGGGTTGGGGTCAGGCTTACAGCGATGGACGGGCTGCAGCAGTGGCCAGGTTGTAGGAGCCTTGTAGGGAGGGCTGGTGCATTGGCAATGGGCCTGGTTTTGCCCTGCCTTGCCCTGTACCTGCCCTACTGTTACCTGGACTGTCTCGGCCCTGTCCAGCTCTGGTCCCATCCTGACCCTGTCTTGGCCCTGTGCTACCCTGTCCCTGCCCTGGTCTTGCCCTGGCACTGGCCCTGCCCTGAACCTGCACTGGCCTGACCTTGGCTCTGGCCCTGGCTCTGGCCCTGCCCCTTGTCCTGACCCTGGTCATGTCATGGCACTGGCCCTGCCAGTGGTCATGGTCCTAATCCTGTTCTGGCCCTGACCTGGCCTTGGACATGTCCTGGTCCTGCTTTGGCCCATCCCTGCCCTGGCCCCACCATGGGCCTGCCTGTTCTGCCCTCTCCTGGCACTGACCTTCCCTGTCATGGCCCAGTGGTGCCATTGCCCTGCCTTACGCTGTGCTGGTTGTGCCTTGGCCCTGCTTGGTGCTGGCCGCTCCCTGGACCTGCCCAGACCCTGCCTCGACTTTTGCCCTGCCCTCACTATGGCCTGGCCCTGGCCCTAGCCCTGGTCCTGCCATATCCCTGGCCCTGCCCTTATCCAGGCCCTGCCCCTGCTGCTGCCCTGGCCCTGGCCTGGAACCTGGTCCTGTCAAGGACTTGCCCTGACTCTGCCATGGCCCTGGCCCTGCTCTGCCTTGTTCCTGGCCCTGACCCTTTCCTGGCTCTGCACTGGCCTTTCCCTGGCCCTGAGCTGGCAGTGGTCTGCCCCTGGTCTTGCCATCACCCTGCCCTGCTGTGCTCTGGATGTGTCATCACCCTGCCCTGGCCCTACTCTGCCTTTGACCCTGCCCTGGCCTTACCTTGACCCTCACCCTAGTCTTTGCTAGGCCCTGCTCTGGAGCTGGCCCTAGCACAGACCTGGCCCTGACCCTGGCCCTGGTCTTGGTCCTGCCATAGCCCTGGCCCTGAAGTGGACTTGGAGGTGTCCTGGCCCCGGCATAACGTGGCTCTGCATTGGCCTGTCCCTGCCCTGCCCCTACCATTGCCTTGCCCTGCTCTGCCCTGTCCCAGTACTGACCCGGCCATGCTGTTTCCCTGCCCTACCCTGCCTTGGCTGTGCCCTGGCTCAGTTCTGGCCCTGGCCCCGGCCCTGCCCCAGACATGCTCTGACACTGCCTCAGCCTTGGCACTAGCCTGGCTCTTTCTTGGCATCAGCCCTGCTCTCTCTGTGGACCGGCTCTTGTCCTGTCCTGCACTGGCCATGCCATGCCCTGCCCTGCCCTGCCCTGACTCAGCCCTGGCCCAGCCTTGGCCTTGGAATTGCCCCTGGTCATGCCATATTTCTTGCCCTGTCCCTACCCTGGCCTTGGCCCTGACCCTTACCTTGCTCTGGCCCTGCCTTTGCCCTAACACAGCCCCTGGCCCTGTCATGGCCCTGCCCTGGACCTGTTCTGGCCCTGGCCCTTCCCTGCTTGAGACCTTGCCCTGGTTCTCCCCTGGCCCTGACCCTGAAATGCCTGGCCCTACCCTGGCCTTGCACTGCTCTGGCCCTTGCCCTGACTCTGGTCCTGTCACTGGCCTAGCCCCAGCCCTGTTGCTGGTCTTACCATGGCCCTGACCCTGCCTTGGCCCTGCCCTGACACTGTCCTGGGCCCTGGCTGTGCCAAGATCCTGCACTGTCCTTGCCCTTGTTTTGCTCCTGCCCCAAACCTGGTCCTGCCCAGGCCCTGGCCCTGGCCCTGGCCCTGGCCCTGGCCCTGCCCTGGCTGTTCCCTGGCCCTGCCCAGGTCTTGGCACTGGCCTGGCCCTGCCCTGCCTTGGCCCTATGCTTTCCTGTCCCTGCCTTTCCAGCCCTGGTCCTGCCTTGGCCCTCGCCTGGCTTTGACCCCGCCCTGGCCCTACCTTGGCCTTCACCCTAGCCTTACCTGGGCACTGTGTTGGACCTGGCCATAGCACAGACCTGGTTGTGGCCCTGGCCCTGCCATGGCCCTGTCCCAGACCCTAGCCCTTCCAGGTACCTGTCCTGGCCCTGCTCTGGGCCTGGCTTTGTCCCTGGTTCTTAGATGACCCTGGCCCTGCCCCTGCCCTTGTCCTTGCCCTGGCACTGGCCTTGGACATGTCCGTGGTCCTAACCCTGGGCCTGCCCTGGAGCTGCCACTGTCTTTGCCCTGCCCTGGCTCTGGCCCTGCCCCGGCCCTTTCCATGCCCCGGCCCCAGCCATAGACCTGCCCTGGTTGGTCGTGCCCTATCTTAACCATGTGCTACTCTGGGCCTGTTCCACCCTGCCCTTGCCTTGCCCTCCCTTTGGCCCTGCCCTGACCCCACCTTGGCCCTCACACTGGCCCTAGCACAGACCTGGTCGTATCTGTGGCGTTGGCCTGGCATTGACCCTTGCTCCTGACCCTGGTCCTGCCATGGCCCTGGGCCTGCCAATGACCCTGACAGCCCTGGCCCTGGCCCTGTCTTGGCCCTGGCCCTGAACTGGCCCTGCCCTGACCCTGGCCCTGAAGTGGATTTGCAGGTGTCTTGTCCCTGATTTAACCTGGCCCTACCATGGCCCTGTCCCTCCCCTGGCTCTGTCCTGGTCTTGTGCTGACCCTGACCCAGACCTTGGCCCTGCCAGCCTTGTCCTTGACCTGGCCATGGCCCTGCCTCTGCCCTGGACCAGCGCTGGCACTGGCATGGACCCTGGCCCTGGCCCTTCACTACTTAAGGCCATACCCTGGCCCAGCCCTGGTCCTGACCCTGTCCTGGCCCTAATTTGGCCTGGCTCTACCCTGGCATGCTATTCTGGCCCTAGCCCTGACCCTGTCCCTGTCCCTGTCCTGGCCCTAGCCTGGTTGCTGGTCCTGCCATGGCTCTTATCCTGACATTGCCCTTTCCTGGTCCTGGCCCTGGCCCTGTCCCAGCCCTGCTCTGGCCCTGGTCTGAACCCTGGCCCTGCAATGGACTCTCCTTGGTCCTGCCCAGACCCTGGTTCTGGCCCTACTTCTGCCCTGGTGATACCCTTGCCCTGGCCTGGACCCTGGTCCTGGTCCTTGTCCTGCCCCAGCCATGGCCCTGGCCCTGTCCTGCCTGTGCCCTGTTCTATCCTGGGCTGGCCCTGCCATGGCCTGGTCTTGCCATTGCCCTGCCCTAGCCTGCCCTGCTTGTGCCCTAGATCTGCCCCGGCCTTTGCCCCTGTCTTTGTTCCAGCCTTGACTCAGCCCTGGACCTTCCCTGACCTTGCCTCAGCCCTGGCACTACCCTGGCCTTGCCTTGGCATTTGCCCTACTCTCTCTATGGCCTGGCTCTGGTCCTGCCCTGCTCTGCTCTTGTTCTGTCCTGACACAGCCCTGGCCCTCCCTGGCCCTGGCCCTGCCGTATCACTGGCTCTGGTCCTGCCCTTATGCAGGCCTGACCCTGCCCCTGCCTTGGCTTTGGCCTGGACCTTGGCCATACAGTGACCCTGCCATGACCCTTTCCTGGCCCTGGCCTGGAACCTGGCCCTGCCAAGGACTCGCCCTGGCTCTGTCATGGCCCTGGCCCTTTCCTGGATTTGGATGTGTCCTGTCCCTTATTTGCCCCAGCCCTTCCCTGGCTCTGCCATACCCCTTCTCTGGGGTAGGGCCAGGGTCAGGACCAGGGTAGGGCCATGGTAAGGCCTGAAGATGGGAAGGGCCAGGGCAGCGGCAGGACCAGGGAAGGGTCAGGGCCAGGGATGTGGTAGGACTAGGGGCAGAGCCGGCACTAGGGCTGAGCCGGGGCAGAGCAGGGGAGATTACATTAGGCTATTATGTAAAATTTTTATTTTAGATTTTTAAGATAACTATAGTAGTGGTAATAATGTCTATACTATGTTGTTTGTAATAGTAATAATATTTACAGTAAATAATCACTAAATTTTAACTAATACTATCTCTGCTTCCAGTACTGTTCTATGAGTATAATTTTATCAATATGTAAATATGTGAGGCATTGATTCTCACAATAATTCTATGTGCTAGGTACTTAAAGCATCCCCATTTTCCAAATGTAGGAAACAGGCATAAAGAAGTTAAATACTTGGCCAGATTACTCCTGTAATCCCAGCACTTTGGGAGGCCAAGGCAGGCAGATGGCTTGAGCTCAGGAGTTTGGAACCAGCCTGGGCAACATTGTGAAACCCCATCTCTACTAAAAATGCACAAAAAGAGCTGATTTAAGTTTCTTGTAGGATTCTGGTTATAAAACACTGGTCAAACACACAGGGCATGGATAGGACAGGGCCAGGGACAAGGTCAGGTCAGGAAGGGGCCAGGGCCAAGGCAGGGCCAGAGCTGGACTTGGAGGTGTCCTGGTCTGATTTGCCCTGCCCCAACTTTGGCCCAGCCCTGCTCTGGCACTTGCTGTCATGCCCTGTCCCTGGCCTGAGCATTGGCCCTGGCCCTGTCCTGCTTCTGGCCCTGCCCCGAAGTTGACCAGGCACTGCCATGGCCCAGTCCTGCATTGCCCTGCCCTCCTCTGCCCTGGTGCTGCCATGGCCCTGCTTGGGCCCTAGCTCTGCCTCGACTATGGACCCGCCCTGACTCTGCTCAGCCCTGGATCTACCCTGACTCTGCCTTGGTGTTGCCCTCCCATCTCTATGGCCTGGCTCTGGCCCTGCCTTGTACAGGCCATGCTCTGCCCTGTGTGTCCCAGTCTGGGCCCAGCCCTTGCCCTACCATATTCCTGACCCCAGCCATACCCTTGTTCTGGCCTTGACCCTGCCGTGGCCCTCTCCTGGCCCTTCGTTGGTCCTGCCCTGCCCATCCATGCCCTGGCCTTGCCCTCACCCTGCACTGGTCCTGCCCTGTCCTGGCAGTGCCTTGGCCCCGGCCCAGCCTTCTCCCTGGCCTTGCCCTTTCCCTGCCCTGGCCTGACCCCAGGCCTACCGAGTCCATGAAATGACCTTGGACCTGCCTTGCCATCATCTGTCCTGGCCCTGTATTGTCCCCACCATGCTCTGGTCCAGCACTTACCCTGGCCCTGTTGCTAGTCCTGCCACTGCTATGGCCCTGCCCTGTTTTTGGCCATGCCCTGTGCTACCCTAGCCCTGCCCCACCTTGGCCTTGGCCCTACCATGGCCTTTTCCTACCCTGGCCTGGCTGTACACTGGCCTTTTCTACCCTGGCCTTGCCCTTCCCTGGTCTTGCCCTGCCCTGTCGTTGCCCTGCCCTGGCCTTGGCTTTGCCTTATCCTGGTCCTTGTTCTGCCCTGGCCCTGCTGTTTCTCTGGATCCTCTCTGGTTCTGCCTTCTCCCTGGCCCTGCCATTGCTCTGGCCCTGTCTCTGGCTCAGCCTTCACCCTGGCCCTGGCCCTGACAATCCCCAGGCCCCACACTGGCCATGCTTGGCCCTGGCCCCTCCTTTGGCCCTGCCCTGGCCCTGTGCTATCTTAGTACAGGGCCTTGGCCTTGGCCCTGTGCTATCTTAGTCCTGCCCTGGCCCTGAACTTGCCCTGGCCCTACCCTCACCCTACACTGGCCCTACCCTACCCTGGCGTTGACCTGCCCTGGCCCTGCCCTGCCCTGGCCCTGCCTTTGCCTGCCCTGGCTCTGGTTCTGCCCTGGCCTTGCCCTTGTCCTGGACCCTCCCTGGCCATGTTTTTACCGTGGTCCTTCTCTGGCCTTGGCCTTGCCCCTTCCCTGTCCCCTTTCTGGTCCTGCCATATTTCTGGCCCTGCCCTGTCCATGTCCTGGACCTGACTCTGGCCCTGGACCTCCCTGTCCCTGCCCTGCCATACCCTGGCCCGTTCCTTGCTCTACACTGACCCTGCCCTGCCTTGGCCCTGTGCTACCCTAGCCCTGCCCTGGCCTTCTGATGGCCCTGATCCTGCCATGGCCCTGGCCCTGCCATGTCCCTGCCCTGGCCCTGGTTCTGCCCTACATCTGGCCCTGGCCTTGGTCCTCTCATGTCCCTGGCTGTGACCCTGCCCCTGGTTTTTCTCTGGCCATGACCCTGCCCCAGTTCTGTCCTATCCCTGGCCCTGTCTCAGTTCTGTCCTAGCCCTAGCCTTTCACAGTACTTTATGCTTAGTAAGGGCTCCATAGTGTCTGTGAGTTGAATGTTGTGTTCATAGTATCTGCCAAAACAGAAAGAAAAAAAACGAAATCTGATGATGAGAAGTTAAAACTTTGTATATAATATGCCTTGAATTGTAAGTGCTTGTTATTAGTTGTATTACATATAGGTCATGGTTTTGTACACGTAACTCCAAACCATTGATACTGTTAAAAGAATATATGAATATATGAAAGAATGTATAAACATAAGAATGTATGTGTATCTAATGACCTCTCCAAATTAATTTTTATTTTTAGCTCTATTAGATTATTCTCAGTATAACAAATGTTTATTCCTATGTAATTAAGGGCATATTTCCTGTACAGAATATTCATATTACCTAATTGAAAATTATATAATGCAAAAATATAATACTATTTTTAGGCCAGGCATGGTGGCTTATACCTGTAATCCCAACATTTTGAGAGGCCAAGTTTGAAGAATCATTTGAGTGCAGGAGTTGACCAGCCTGGGCAACATAGTGAGACCTTTTCTTTATTAAATAAATAAACAAATAAATAGGTTTGGCACTGTGGCTCATATCTGTAATCCCAGCATTTTGGGTTGCCAAGGCAGGAGGATTGCTTGAGCCCAGGAGTTTGAGACCAGCCTGGGCAGCATAGCAAGACTCCATCTCTACAAATAATAAAATATTAACCAGGTGTGGTGGTACGCACCTGGGGTCCCAGCTACCTGGGAGGCTAAGGTGGGAGGTTTGCTCGAGGTTGCAGTGAACTTTGAATGCACCACTGCATTCCTGCCTAGGCCACAGAACAGGACCTTGTCTATAAATAAATAAGTAAAAATATAATTTAAAATAAGTAAAAAGAAATATAAGTAAATAGAAATATAAATACATATAAATATAAAAATGAATACATGAAAACAATTTTTAAATTTAACATCACTGAGGGCATCCTATCCATTTCATTTCATGATTCCATTACATCATTTCACTTAGATGAAATGATAAGATGACTTGAGATGAGATGAAATGATGAAATGATGGGATGAAATGATGAGATGAAATGGTGAGTAGAAATGATGAGATGAAATGATGAGACAAAATGACAAAATTGAAAAGAAATTGAAAGGAGATGAGATGAGATGAGATGATGGATAAAATGATGAGATGAAATGATGAGAAGAAATGATGAGATGAAATGAAATAATGAAATGAAATGATATGAAATAATGAAATTGAGATGAGATGAGATGATATAATGAGATAAAATGATGAGATGAAATGAGATGAACAATACGATGAAATGATGAAATGAGATGAGATGATAAGATGAAATGATGAGATGAAATGAGATGAAAAATGATGAGATGAAAAATGAGATGAAATAATGAAATGAGATGAAATGAAATGAAATAATGAAAGGAAATTATGAAATGTAATGATGAAATTGAAATGAGATGAGATGGAATGATGAGATGAAATGATGAAATGAGATGAGATGAAATGAGATGAAATGATGAGATGAAATGAGATGAGATGAGATGAAATGAGATGAAATGATGAGATGAAATGAAATGAGATGAAATGAGATGTAATGAAATGAGATGAAATGAAATGACATAATGAAATGCAATAATGAAATGAGATGAAATGAAATAATGAAATGATGAAATAATGAAATGGCAATGATGAGATGAGATGAAATGATGAGATGAAATGATGAGATGAGATGAAATGAGATTAAATGATGAGATGAAATGATGAGATGTGATGAAATGAGATGAATTGATGACATGATATGATGACATGAAATCAGATGAAATAATGAGATGAAATGAGATGAAATGATGAGATGAGATGAAATGAGATGAGATGAAATGTGATGAGATGAAATGACATAATGAAATGAAATGATGAAATGGAATAATGAAATGGAAATGATGAGATGAGATGCAATGAGTTGAAATGATGAGATGAAATGATGAGATGAAAAGATGAGATGAGACGAGATGTGATGAAATGATGACATGAAATGACATAAAATGAGATGAAATAAGATGTAATGATGAAATGAGATGAGATGAAATGAGATGAAATGATGAGATGAGATGAAATGAAATGGTGAGAATAAATGATGATATGAAATGATGAGATGAATGATGAGATGAAATGATGAGATGAAATGAAATGCAATGAAATAATGAACTCATGAGATGAAATGAAATGAAATAATGAAATGAAATGAAATTGAAATAAAATTGAGATGAGATGAAATGATGAAATAAAATGATGAAATGATGAGATGTGATGAGATGAAATGATGAGATGACATGACATGAAATAATGAAATGAAGTAATGAAATGAAATTGAAATGAGATGAGAAGATACGAGATGAAATGATGAGATGAAATGATGAAATGATGAGATAAGATGAAATGAGTTGATGAGATGATATGAAATGATGAGATGAAAAGATGAGATGAAATGAGATGAAATGAAATTAGATGCCATGTAATGAGATGAAATGAAATGACATAATGAAAAGAAAAAATGAAATGAGGTGAAATTAAATGAGATGATGAAATTAAATGATGAAATGATGAAATGGAAATGAAATGGAAATGAGATGAAATGAGATGAATGATGAGATGAAATGAGATGAAATGATGAGATGCAATGATGAGATGAAATGATGAGATGAGATGAGATGTAATGATGAGAGGAAATGAGATGTAATGAAATGAGATGAAATGAATGAGATGAAATGAAATAATGAAAGGAAATTGAATTGAGATGAGATGAGATGAAATGATGAGATAAAATGAGATGAAATAAGAAATGATGAGATGAAATGATGAAATGCTGAGGTGAGATGAGATGAAAGGAGATGAAATGATGAGATGAAATGAAAGGATGAGATGAAATGATGCGATGAGGTGAGATGAGATGAAATGAGATGAAATGATGAAATGATGAGATGAGATAAGAAGAAATGATGAGATGAAATGAGGTAAGATGAGATGAAATGATGAGATGAGATGAAATGAAATAAAGTGAAAGGAAATGAAATAATGAAACTGAAATGAGGTGAGATGAAATAAAATGATGAGATGAAATGATGAGAAGAAATGAGATGAAATGATAACATGAGATGATGAGATGAAATGACGAGATGAAAAATGATGAGATGAAATGATGAGATGAAGTGAGATGAAATAATGAAATAATGAAATGAGATGAAATGATGAAATGAAATGATATTGAAATGAAATTGGAAGATGAGATGAGATGAAATGATGAGATGAAATGATGAAATGTTGAAATGAAATGATGAAATGAAGAGATGTGGTGAGATGAAATGATGAGCTGAAATGATGAGACAAAATGAAATGAGATTAAATGATGAGATGAAAAATGATGAGATGAAAAATGATGATATGAAACGATGAGATGAGATGAGATGAATTGAGATGAGATGAGATGAAATAATGAAATTAGGTGAAATAATGAAATGAGATGAAATGAAATAATGAAATGAAATTGAAATGAGATGAGAAGAAATGATGAGATGAAATGTTGAAAGGAGGAAATGAGATGAGGAGATGAAATGATGAGATGAATAATGGTATGAAAAATGATGAGATGAAATGAAATGAGATGATATGAAGTGACATAATGAAATAAATGAAATTAGATGAAATGAAATGAAATAGTGAAATGAAATGATGAAATGAAATAATGGAAATGAGATGAGATTTGATGAAATGATGAGATGAAATGATGAGATGATATGATGAGATGAGATAAAATGAGATGAAATGAGATGAAATGATGAAATGAGATGAAATGATGAGGTGAAGTGATGCACTGTCACGTGTGTGTCTATTCTTTTTCCCAACCAACAAAAATTATAATTCATTTTAATTTTATTATTTAAGAATATTCTTAAGAGTTGAAGGAAAAATAATATCTACATTATGGGTTACAATCTAAGCATAAATAATACATAAATATATTAAAACTTACTAAGAATATGTTTTGGAATTGAATATACCATGCTTCTGTGATGACAGTTATTTCATGCTGGTTGTCACAATTTTACATGAAAAACTAATGAAAAAATGTTTTTAACTGTTTCTAAAAATAACAGTTTCCAAAAGAGTTTTACATTCGAAATATGAAAAAGATGTCTTTGTGTTCCTTAATCTGATGAGATTTTCACACTCTGCACATGATAATTGTTAGATTTTTATTTTGTTGATAAATTGTATATCAAATAAAAAATGTTATTACCTCTTAAATTAGGATTTTTAGGTGATATAGGCAGAAAGGAAGGCAAGTTTTTATAACTTTGTCTAAATGAACTTTCTAAATGCCTGAGTATTAAAAGATAGCATGTCTATAAATCACAATGTATATATTACTGTATGACCTAGGACCAATCAAAACCATTACCTCTGATAATATTATATTGTGCCCAATATAAAATAGATATAATAATACCTCAAACTTAATCCAGGCATTGTCACTGAATATCTTAAGAATATGCAGCAAAGGTGCTTTTAAAAATACAAGCTAGTGATTGTACTAAATTTGTAAATCACATGGGATAGTGGGTCATTTTAAGAATATTAGTTATTTCAATCTATAAACGTGGATGTCTTTCCTTTTTTGTGTTTTCCTTCATTCCTTTCATTAATATTTGTCATTTTTGTTGTAGAAATCTTTTACTTCCTTGGTTAAACTTATCTCTAAGTACATTTTTGTAGCTATTGTAAAAGGAATTGCTTTCTTAATTTCTTGTTTCAGCTAGTTTACTATCAATATATAGAAATGCTACTGATTTTTGTATGTTGATTTATATCCTGCAACTTTATTAATTTTATGTATCACCCTAGGAAGCTTTTGGTAGCGTCTTATTTTTTTTTTTTTTCGTGTATAAGATCACATTGTCTTTAAACAGGGACAATTTGACTGTCTCGTTTCCAATTCAGATGTCCTTTATTTCTTTCTCTCACCTAATTGTCCTGGCTAAGACTTTCACTATGTGAAATATGATTGGTGAAAATAGGCATCTTTTTCTTGCTCCAGTAAAATCTTTTTCTTGTTCACAGTAAAATCTTTCACCTTTTCCACACTCAGTATGATCTTAGCTGTAGATTTGTCCTTTATGTCCTTCTGTGTTAAGGCATATATTTTCTATACTAAATTGTCGAGAGGTTTTGTGTCATGTAAGAATATTTAATTTTGCCAAACGCTTTTATTGTGTTTATTAATTTAATCATATGGTTTTCAGTATATATTCAAAGGAAAGAAAATCAGTATATCAAAGAGTTACCTGCACCCGCATGTTTATTACAACACTATTCACAATAGCCAAGATATGGAATCAACAAAAGTGTCCATCAACAGATGAATGGATAAAGAAATATGACATACATATATAATGGAATATTATTTAGTCATAATAAAGAACAAAATCCTGTTATTTGTGGCAACAAGAATGCAAGTGGAGGGCATTATGTTAGGTGAAATAAGCCTTGCATAGAAACATAAACACCACATAACTACGTGTTCTCACTTATGTATGGAAGCTAAAATTTTTAATCTCGTAGAAGTAGATAGTAGAGTTTTGGTTACCATATCCTGGAAAGAGTAGGAGAAAGAAGAGTATAAGAAAAATGTGGTTAATACATACGAAATTACAGCTGGAGAGAAGGAAGAAGTTCTAGTTCTCTACAGCACTGTTGGGTGACTGTAGTTAACGGGAATTTATTGTGTGTTTTCAAATAAATAAAAGATTTTGAATATTCTCACTGCAAATAAATAATACATGATTTAGGTAATGGATATGATAATGACTCTGACTTGAACTTTACGCATTGCATAAATATATCAAAATATCACTCTGTATCCCATAACATGTACATTTATTATATGTCAATTAAATTTAAAAGAGAAAAAATGAGGTAAAGGTAAATGTACAGAATTTGATTACTTTTTCTTCTATAAAACCCAAGAGTCAGTACCAAGAAGAGTCAGTTTATTAGTTTTCTAAAATAAAAAAAAATCAGTCACCAAAAAAGAGCAATATCCAAGAAAACATTGAAAATGAAACACAACATTTAGTAAGAATAGAAAACTTGGGCACTGTATCACCCTGTTCCTAGATACCGATTTACTGATGGCCATTTAAATAGAATTTTATTCTATCTAATTCATTTATACTCCCAGAGTTCAAAATTACATTTTACCTACAATAAATAAGATAACACTTGTAAATTATATGGTACTCTGCCTAACACATGTTAATAACTCAATACATGTTAGCAATAAACTTTTAGTATAGTAGTCAAAGTATTAATTTCTCACACTGCAATTTCCTTCAGAGACATGAATACAACCTTTCTAATGACTCCTTGTTCGTCAAGATACCTCTTCAAATTATTCTATTTGTTTCATTCAGTATATTATCTATGTATACCGATATGATATTACACTCTTTATTTTATTTTTTTGAGATGGAATCTCATTCTGTTACTGATGCTGGAGTGGGGTGGCATGATCTGGGTTCACTGCAACCTCCAGCTCCCAGGTTCAAGCGATTCTCCTGTCTCAGCCCCCCAGGTAGCTAGGACTACGGGTGCACACCACCATGCTTGGCTAACTTTTGTATTTTTAGTACAGTCAGAGTTTCACCCTGTTGTCCAGGCTGGTATTGAACTCCTGACCTCAGGTGATCCACCCACCATGGCCTCCCAAAGTGCTGTGATTACAGGCATAAGCCACCGCACCCTGCCTGATATTGCACTCTTGGATTTTGAACACTGAATATCTTTTTGAAAGATTACACTTCTTTACCTCTTTGTGCTTCAGAAATCATTTTCCTTCAAGTGTTCTAAGAGTCTAATGAAGAATGAAGTCATGTTTTATCACTTTTGTCCTTAAAGATTTCAGACATGCTGAAACTGACTGAAGTATCATTTGCTACCAGATAGATTAATTATCTCTAGTTGTAGGAGTGGATACATCTTTAATGGTATATTTTGGGTTATTGTCTTATTTTTGATGCAGTATTCTATAAATAATTTATTAAACCTGGCATCCTTGGGTGAGCATGAATTTTTCAACTTTGGTGTTATATTGTGTTTGCTTTTAAAAACTGCTTTTGAGGCCGGGTATGGTGGCTCTTGCACATACCCAGCACTTTGGGAGGCCAAGGTGGGCGGGTTACCTCAGGTCAGTAGTTCAAGACCAGTCTAGTCAACATGGAAAAACCATGTCTCTACTAAAAACACAAAATTAGCCAGGCATGGTGGTACATGCTTGTAGTCCTAACCACTCGGGAGGCTGAGGCAAGAGAATCACCTGAACCTGGGAGGCAAATGTTGCTAGGTTGCTATGAGCCAAGTTCGCACCATTGCACTCCAGCCTGGGTGAAAAGAGCAAAACTCTGTCTCAAAAAAAAAAAAAAACCCACCAACAACTGCTTTTGAATGGAGTTGTACATACAGTCTTTATGAAAAAAATTATCAAGTGCATAAGTTCATAATAGAAAAACCAATAATACTTCAGGCACAAGTTAGTACTAAAAAAGTTATGTTGAATATTCTCTAATACAACATGCTTTTTCCCTTCATGAACAATTTGTGTTTTACTGAGAAGAGTCATTGTTTATGGTAGAAATTAGACTACAGATGAATATGTACTTTAAGCACTCTTAGTTGCTTTCTTAATTTTATATCTGCTGCTTTATGCTTCTGTTTATTTTCATTCTTTCCAATGTCCACATTCTAGTAAATTTGAATATTTTAATCCAAGTTTATATACTATTTAATATTGCTTGTATAGTTTAGTATTTTTAAGACTCAAAAAGGTTTACAGAAAGAAGAAAAAGTTCAACATGTTATTAATCATTTGAAGATCATTTTAAAATCTTTGATTTTTTATTTTAATGAATAAAATTTTAGTAGTTATTAGTATAAAATAATTTATGTCTTTTGGACTTAGCATCCAGTATTTCTTTTTTAATAAAGAAAATAATTACTCTCTTGCAATATACTATGTTTATCTGGGTTTTGAAAAATGATGTTTCCTAATATGAGAAAGCCATTTACATTTTTAAATCTACAAAAGCAAATGGAATGGTACTAAATTATTTACATAATAATATTTAGATGGTGGCCCTTATAATATTCTTTCTATACTTCCTACAGAGTTGGGGATATGCAATCCTAGAATATTTCTGGGAGCTAATCCTTTAGCTTGATGAATGAAACAAGACTTTTAAATAAAATTAAACTTTCAAATTATCCAGGTAATGGGCCTGTCTTTTAATTCAATGGATAGGGAGCATAATGATTTATCCCCTGTTCATTGGGTAATAAGTTCTCATTCTTAACTTATAATACTCAAAATGTCCTTTAATTTTTAATTTTTGATAGTCATATCATTATCCCTAGGTATTTTAGCTTCTATCTTAAATTCTAAATATGTGGTCAGGCACTGTGGCTCACACCTATAATCCCAATAATTTGGGAAGCCAAGGCATGAGGATCAGTTGATTCCAGGAGTTCAAGACTAGCCAGGGTGACATAATGAGACTTGGTCTCTAACAAAAATTATTTTTTTCTTTAATTACCAGGGCATGATGGTGCATGCCTGTAGCCCAGCTACTTGGAAGGCTGAGGTAGGAGAATCACGTGAGCCCAGGAGGCCAAGGCTGCAGTGAGCCATGGTTGCACCACTGCACTCCATACCTGGGTGACAGAGTGAGACACAGTATCAAAAACAAACAAACAACAACAAAAAGTATTTGTTTTAGAAAAAACATTTGGTGAGGTTTGGGCTTAAAAATATATTATTCTAAAATATTCATAATTATTCTCTAGTAATGATAAGATTAAAGTGACAAAGACAAACTTTTTCCTGTGCAGTTCCATCTCTCACCGTCCCGTAATTATTCTGTCCCATCCAGCTTCCAAAGGAAATTATTTACAAAATAATGTCTGCATCCTGGGTCTATATATCTATTGCCTATGAGGAGAGCGTTTAAGATCTGAGCCATCTTCAAGTCTTATACTTTGTGTATAGCTCTCATGTTTTTGCAGGTTAAGTAAGTTTGTATACCCTTTCTTTTATTAATCTGTGTATGGTCAGTTCATTTTGGTTAATCTTCAGAGGGTGAAAGGGGAAGCTTTTCACTTCACTCCTACTGTGACAACTAACTACCTTCTTATTCAATTTTTTAGTCTATATCAACATTTTTATATGCATTTACTTTTAAACAAAATTTTGCATCATTACACTTAAAATTTTATTTACCTTTTAAAAAGGAAATTAAAAATAAAATTAAAAATTATAAAATTTTACATAATAAAAATAAAATAAATGATTTATATAAAAATTAATCTGACCTGTGAAAAACACTATCCAGTGGCCAAACACGGTGGCTAACGCTTGTAATCCCAGCACTTTGGGAGGCCGAGGTGGGTGGATCACGAGGTCAGGTGATCTAGACCACGATGAAACCCCTCTCTACCAAAAATACAAAAAATTAGCCGGGTGTAGTGGCGGGCGCCTGTAGTCCCAGCCACTAGGAGAGGCTGAGGCAGGAGAATGGCGTGAACCCGGGAGGCGGAGATTGCAGTGAGCTGAGATCGTGCCACTGCAATCCAGCCTGGGTGACAGAGCCAGACTCTGTCAAAAAAAAAAAAAAAAAAAAAAAAAAAAGAAAGAAAAACGCTATCGAGAGAATAAAAAGACAAATCACAGACTGGGAGTAAAAATTTACAAAAGCTATATCTGGTGAAGATACATTTGTTATCCAAAATATACAAAGAACTCTCAGGACTCAATAATAGGAAAACAAATAGTCTAACACAAATGTAGAGATCTGAACAGACATTTCACCATAGAATACAGATGGATGATACGTAAGCACATTGAAAGATGTTCAACATCATTCATCATTAGGGAAATGTAAATTAAAACTACAATGAGATACTGCCACATGCCTATTAGAATAGCTAAAATTTAAAAGACTGACCATACTAAACATTGGTGAGAACACAAAGAAACAGGAATGCTCATACACCGCTGCTGGAAATACAGCCACTTTGTCAGTTTCTTTAAAAGTTAAACTGGCCGGGAGTGGTGGCTCACACCTGTAATCCCAGCACTTTGGGAGGCCAAGGCTGGCGGATGACGAGGTCGGGAAATCGAGACCATCCTAGCTAACACGGTGAAACCCCGTATCTAATAAAAATACAAAAAATTAGCCGGGCGTGGTGGCGAGCGCCTGTAATCCCAGCTACTCCGGAGGCTGAGGCAGGAGAATGACGTGGACCCGGGAGGCGGAGATTTCAGTGAGCCGCGATGCACCACTGCACTCCAGCCTGGGCCTGGGCGACAGAGCGAGACTCCGTCTCAAAAAAAAAAAAAAAAAAATTGAACATATCACACCACCTAGTCATTCAAATCCTGCTTATTTGCCCAAGACAAATGAAAGCGTATGTCCAAACGATTGGACAAACATTCGTAGCAACTTTATTTGAAATAGTAAAAACAACTGGAAGCAAACCAAATGTCCATCAAGAGGTGAATAGATACACTAACTATAGAATATCCATACAATAAAACTATTTTTTTTAAACTACGGGGCAAAAAACAAAAAAAACCAAAGATAGAATCTAACTTCTTGGTAAATACATTCACTATTAGGGTTTTTATAACAGAGAAGTCATTCTTTATTAACACTCTTTTGACTATGAAAATATTTTGACATCAAAAATCTGCAAAATATGAAGAAACAAAGGACACACAGCTTTTTCTATTTTTTATTTTTATTTTATTTTTATTTTTTTGAGAAGGAGTCTCTTTCTGTCACCCAGGCTGGAGTGCAGTGGCGCGATCTTAGCTCACTGCAAGCTGCGCCTCCCGGTTCACGCCATTCTCCTGCCTCAGTCTCCCGAATAGCTGGGACTACAGGCGCCGGCCACCAATCCCGGCTAATTTTTTGTATTTTTAGTAGAGACGGGGTTTCACCGTTAGCCAGGATGGTCTCAATCTCCTGACCTCGTGATCTGCCCGCCTCGGCCTCTCAAAGTGCTGGGATTACAGGCGTGAGCCACCGCCCCTGGCCCCAGGACACACAGCTTTAAAATTTCTCCTTGGTCTCACCCAGTGCCAACCACCTAAAACCTCTCATTTTCCCCCAGACATTTCTTCTGCCTCCAGGATGGAGGTAGAGAATCTTGGCCTTGGGCCACGCACTGGGGACCATGCTGGGCTGCCGTGGTCAGTGACGGACTCAGGTTCTCACCAGGATGCCCAAAATAGGCCTCTGAAAAAAATCTTACCATCAGGGTGTGCTCCCTGATTCTTGTGTCTGCTGGAAGGAGGAAATCAAGCCAGGAACATTGCCAGGATAGAGATGAAAATGGGGCTCACTTTTCTGTCTCTTGTGATGTCAGACAAGCCTTTCAGCTCTGTCTCCTCAGCCCTCATGGAATTGTTTGGTGTGGACGCACCGAGATTCTGAACTGGGTCCCCTTTCCCTCTGCCCTTCTCTGGGGCCAGATTCTGAGCTCTCCATTCCAATTTTTCCCCCAATTTGCCCTTGCATTTATTTATCTGGATTACTGTCTGCCTGTCCCAAAGAATAAAAGCTTTATCACAGTGGGGACTTTGTTTAAAAAAAAAAATAACAGCTATATTTTTAGGATCCATGACACTGTCCAGCATATCGGTGGTATCTGATAAAAAATGTTTGTTGACTGAATGAACAAATATATTATTCACAATTCACATTATCCTGAACTGGCTAGAAAATTAAATATCTGATATCAGTATTGGCAACATTATGAAGTAAATATAATTCTGATACAGTGCTTGTGAAAGTCTAATATGAAATGCTCATTTTAGAAAACATTTTCTTGTAGATTTGAAAATGTTTCATCTCCATGAACCAGTTGTATATCTGCAAGTTGTGTATCTTTGGGTTAGGCAGAATAATTGCCCCCCACCAAAGACAGCCACATCCCAGTCTTCAGATAAGGTGAACATGCTAACGTAAGTTAGCATGTTCAAAGGGACTTGGCAGATGTGATTACCATTAAGGTCATTGAAATGGGGAAGTTACCTTGAATTACCTTGGTGAGCCAATCTAATCTCATAATTCCTTGAGAGCAGAGAATATTTTCTGGATGCTGAGATTCAGACAGATGGCAGTATGAGAAAGATGTGGCCTGCTATTACTGGCTTTTAAAACAGTGGTAGGGGGCCACAAGCCAAGGAAAGCCAGTGACCTTTAGAAGCTGGGAATGACCCAAAGTTTACAACCAGGAAGAAACTGAGGATCTACAACCACAAGGAACGGAATTCTGCCAACAACCCAGATGCTCTTTTAGAGCCTTTAGAAAGAAATGCAGCCTGCCAACATCTTGATGTTAGTTCAGTGAGAGCCATGCCAGATTTCCAACCAAAACAATTCTAAGACAATAAGTTTGTGTGTGTTTTTTAAAACTGACTCAAATCTCACAAAAATGTGTTATTTTAAGCCACTGAATTTGTGGTAAATTGTTACAGCAGGAACAGAAAACTGATACAACCCTAGAGAAAGTCTTGTACATGTGCCCTATAAACACACAGCAGAATTTTTTTAATTTTTTATTGAGTTAAAAAATATATATATAATTTACCATCTGTACATTTTTAGAGGACAGTTTAGTGGTGATAAATACATTTATATTTTCTTCTCTTAATCTCCTCTTCCCACTCCCCTTGCTGGCCTCTAGCAACCACCGATTTACTTTCTATCTTCATGAGATCCACTTTTTTACTGCCCACATATGAGTGACAACATGTGGTATTTGCCTTTCTGTGCTTGGCTCATTCCACTTAACACAATGGCCTATGTTCATTACGTTAAGCCAAATGGCCAGTGCCACCTATGTTGCTGCGAATGACAGAATTTCATTCTTCTTTGTATCTGAGTAGTATTCCATTATGTATATATATGACTTTTAAAATCTATTCATTTGTTGTACGTTGATTCCATATTTTGTCTATTGTGAATAGTGCTGCAGTACACATCGGCATGTAGATATGTCTTTGATATATTAATTTCCTTTATTTTGGATATATATCCAGTAAAGAAATTGCTGGACCACGTGGTAGTTCTATTTTTACTTTTTTGGGGAACCTCCATACTGTTCTCCATAGTGGCTTTATTAATGTAGATTCCCACCAACAGTGTACTAGTATTTCCCTTTCTCCACATCCTTGCCAGCATCTGTTATTGCCTGTCTTTTTGAAACAAGTCATTTCAACCAAGGTGAGATGATATTGCATTGTGATTTTGATTTGCATTTCTTTGATGATTAGTGATATTGAATATTTTTTCATCTTCCTATTGGCCATTTGTATGTCTTCTTTTGAGAAAATATCTGTTCAGATCTTTTGCCCATTTTTAAATTGTATTTATTTATATATTTTTAACTATTATTTTTTTAGAAGCAAGGTCTTGCTTTGTCACCCAAGCTAAAGGGCAGTACCATAATCATAGCTCACTGTAACCTCAAACTCCTGGGATTAAGAAATCCTCCTGACCGGGCGCGGTGGCTCACGCCTGTATTCCCAGCACTTTGGGAGGCTGAGGAGGGCGGATCACGAGGTCAGGAGGTCGAGACCATCCTGGCTAACACGGTGAAACCCCGTCTCTACTAAAAATACAAAAAATCAGCCGGGCTTGGTGCCGGGCGCCTGTAGTCCCAGCTACTCAGGAGGCTGAGGCAGGAGAATGGCATGAACCCCGGGGGAGCAGAGGCTGCAGTGAGCCGAGATCGCGCCACTGCACTCCAGCCTGGGCGACAGTGAGACTCCATCTCAAAAAAAAAAAAAAAAAAAAAAAAAGAAATCCTCCTACCTCAGCCTCTTCAGTAGCCCATTTTTCAATCAGATTTTTTGTTTGTTTATTATTGAGTTGTTTGAGCTCCTTATATATTCTACTTGTTAATCCTTTATCAGATAGATAGTTTGAAAATATTTTGTCCCATTGTGTGGTTGGCGCTTCACTTTATTGATTGTTTCCTTTGCTTGAGGCTTTTTAGTTTGATATAATCCCATTGCCTATTTTTGCTTTTGTTGCCTGTGCTTCCGAGGTCTTACGCAAAAAAATCTTTGCCCAGACTAATGTCTTGGAGCATTTCTCCTATGCTTTCTTTTTTTCTTTCTTTTTTTTTTTTTCACGCCATTCTCCTGCCTCAGCCTCCCGAGTACCTGGGACTACAGGCGCCCACCATCATGCCCCGCTATATTTTTTTTTTTTTTGTATTTTTAGTAGAGACGGAGTTTCACCGTGTTAGCCAGGGTGGTCTCGATCTCCTGACCTTGTGATCCGCCTGCCTTGGCCTCCCAAAGTGCTGAGATTACAGACGTGAGCCACCACGCCCTGCCTTTCCTATGCTTTTTTTTTTAATTAGCTTCATAGTTTCAGGTCTCAGATTCAAGTCTTTAATCCATTTTTATTTGATTTGATTTTTGTGTATGGTGAGATGGGTTTAATTTTATCCTTCTGCATATAGTTATTCAGTTTTCCCAGGATCATTTATTGAAAAGACTGTTGTTTTCCCAGTGTATGTTCTTGATGCCTTTGTCAGAGATGAGTTGTTTGTAAATATGTAGATTTGTCTGCGATCTCTATTCTGTTCCACTGTCCTATGTGTCTGTTTTTATGCCAGTAGAAATATATTGGCAATAATTAGTACAGAAAAGCTGAAACAATGAAATGACAAAAGTGAATTATATTGATATAATTCATTATGCTCACTAAATGCAATAGCATCCAGCTAGGAAAACAATGTAGTGCACACGGTATTAAAATACAACACAATTCAATATACACAGTGCTCACAGTGGCCATCATTAGAGTTTTGAAGAAGGGGATGTAGTCAGCAAAAGTTGTACAGATGACTTCAAAAGTAATCATAAGCATTTATGATTACTTTTGGCTTAATTTCTTAAACCAAGACTGGAGACACAGGTGTTCATTATGTGCTTATTATATATATAAAATAAATATTTTATAAATATATTGTTTCTATTCAGTATTTAATAAAGTAAATCAATAGAAAAGGTTAAAAAGCAATGCACACATATTTCAAATATTTTTTTTGCTCCAAATTATATAAACATTGCATAGTTATTGCCCTGGGCTTGGCAAGGTGACTCACACCTCTCATCCTAGCACATTAGGAGACTGAGGCAGGAGGATAGTTTCAGCCCCAGAGGTCAAGGCTGCAGTGAGCCTTAATTGCACTACTGCACTCCAGCCTAGGCGACAGAGCAAGATGCTGTCTGAAGATAAAAATAAAAATAAGTTAATAAGTATATGTTTATATATTAACTGATTTTATTAACTATATATATATATATATATAGTTGTTGTCTTGGTCTATATGCAATCTTACGGTGCTTAAGACTTTGATACTGAGAACAGATCTCCTAGGTATATGCTGTGTTTCTGGGGTGACATGATGCTCTCATCTGGTCTCCGTGAGCCTAATTCTATCTTACATTTACCCCACTCTTCAACAACAACTTGGGGAGGTGTCCCTAAACATTCCCAGGTGAACCCAAACCTGTGGCCCTCAACACATTTCTACGTAAAGCAAGCTCCTGACATATCTGTGGATATCCTCTCATTGGATGAAGGGGAAAAGACCATCTCAAAATAATTCATTTAATAGAGCTTTTCAGAATTAATTTTATTTTGATAAAGAGACACACAGTAAATAAAATTTCTAAAAAACTATAAACTTTCAAGCATTCTCACGCTAAATCTAGCCCTGCTCACATGCCAGGGAAATATAAAGGTAATCTGTTTCTCAACCTGACCAGGATGCTATAGTAATTAAAAATAAACTCAATCCCTGGATCCCTACCAAAGGGTCATTTCATATGGATCAAAGTTCTGGTAAAATTATTTGTCTGCAAATAGACTAATTCTCCAAAATATAATTGAAATAACAGCCTCTGGAAAGGGCCAAATATGACTCTTAATGATACAACAGCTAAATATAGGTCTGATGCTGATTCCGTGTGGACAACAATAGCAGCCATTCCCACAAATGGCTGATTTGTGGGAAGTAAACACTACTTTTGCAGAATCTTACATGATTTCAATAGAAGGGCAAGGGCATTTCAGTTGGGAACAGATTGCTCCATGGTAATGTGATCACTATGTACCCAACAATGGCTCTTTCTTCCTAGCGTCAATGCAGATGTTATTTTCACCTTAACTATTATCATTGCTGTTTCTAACCACATAAAAGTGTATCCTTTATATATCTGAAGTAAATTCATACTAGTGGTGTAACATCTCCAGCCATTTAAGTGTAAAAACAGAAACTGTATGATGTGTTTACTTACTGTTTTATACTCCTAACGCATGAAGAGAAGATCCTTTTATTCATTGCCTTTACTTTTATTTCTAAACTTTCTGTAACACTTTATCTTATATCCAGCATAGAATTGAGATTTGCTTTTTGATTTAATCTGACAATATTTTTTCCTCTAATAAGAGTCAAGCCCACTTACTTTTAATGATAAATTGTGTTTGGTTATATTTTGATTACAGTATATTATGCTATGATTTATATGTACATATCTGTCTTTTGCTGTCTTGTTTGTTTTTATTGCTTTTGTTTTGATGTTGTGATATTTGGAAGAGTTAAACTTTTATTCTGATGGCTACCTTATGTAATTTCATAAAATCATCTCTTTCTTTAGACAGTAGCTAATGTCTCTAAACTAAGAACAATGGTATTAGCTGTATTCTCTTTCTTGTCCTCCTTATGTGATTTTTCATCCCACAATTTGATTTAATCATATTAACTTTGTTTCCCCTGGTGCCATTAAGTATGCTTACATTTCTATAAACAATATCCGTTGACTCCCAGGCATTACAGTGAGCAGTCAGTAAAATCATTCTGAGGAATACTTTCTCTTTCCTTTTCTTCCATTTTTCTTAGTTGTATCATTTCTATATTGCCAGAGCACCTACAGTTTCATTTCTTTCCGTCAGCTTTATCCAGCATTTGTTTTTGTCTTTTATTTGAAGTTAAATATATTCCTTGCTCACTACAACACTGGGAGGAAGGAGGGTTTCTGTTGTCATTGTTGTGCTTGTACAGTTGTTTATTTAAAAACATTGGCAAAAACAAAAACTGTGTGTAGAAGGAATGGAGATAAGACAGAAAATGAGAGAGACTGATGATGAGTGTGCTTATTCTAGACTGGGAGGGGTGCTACACTGAGCAGTGTCTGAAGGCCGCAGGAAAGGATGGTTGTTTGTGAGCAGGTGGACTTTCCACTGGAAGAGAGAAGTCCTGCGCTCAACAACCTGTGCAGAACCAGAAACTGGTAATGCTTCAAATCAACTTACAGACCTGGAGGTAGAAATTTAAGAAAACTCGTTTAGCACCTAGTTTCCTAGAAAATATTAGCTACTATTTGCTGAGCATCTGTCAGTCTGTCTGTAGCATGGAAGATCAGAGTACAGGGGAAACTGGATTAGTAACAGGGGGTCAGAAAATTATACAATATTCAACCAAAATTCCTGCTTTACATACACAGCACCTGGTATTTCCAGAACTAGAAGATAAAGAAATTATTTGTGCAAGACACAAAACTAATACACAAAGATTGGTTGCATTTATATATATGAACAACAAACTCGCTGAAAAAGAAATTAAGAAGGCAAACCCATTTACAATAGTTACCAAAAAAAATCCCAGACATAAATGTAACCAAGGAGGTAAAATGAAAACTACAAATCACTAATGAAAGAAATTAAAGAGGATGCAAACAAATGAAAAGACATTCATACTCATGGATCAGAAATATGAACGTTGTTAAAGTGACAGTACTACTCAAAAGCAACCTACAGATTCAATGCAATCTCTATCAAAATACCTATGAACATTCTTCACAAAATTAAAAAAATCCAAAGAGATTTTATGGAATCAAAAAATATCCTGAATAGCCAAAGCCATCCTAAGCAAAAAGAACAAAGCTGGATGTATCATGCTACCAGACCTCAGAATATACTACAAAACTGTAGTAACCCAAAACATCATGGTATTGGCATAAAAACAGACACATAGACCTATGGAATAGAATAAAGAACCCAGAAAATCCACATATCTCAGCCAACGGATTTTTTACAAAGATGCCAAGAACACTCATTGGGGAAAGGATAGTCTCTTCAATAAATGGTGCTGGAAAAACTGGGTATCCATATGCAGAAGAATGAAACTAGACCCCTGCCTCTCACCCTATACAAAAATCAACTCAAAGTATCTCAAATACCCAAATATAAGACCCAAAATGGTAAAGCTACTAGAATAAAACATAGGGGAGATCCTTCAGGACACTGCTCTGGGAAAATATTTTATGAATAAGGCATCAAAAGCACAGGCAACAAAAGAAAAAATAAATAAATGGGATCACATCAAGCTAAAAATCTTCTGCACAGCAAAGGAAATAATAAAGTGAGTGAAAACACAACCTACAGAATGGGAGAAAATATAAACTACTCATCCGGCAGGAAATTAATATCAAGAATATACAAGGAATTCAAACATATCAACAGCAAAGAAGCACAACAATCTAATTAAATATAAACAAATGCTCTGAACAGACATTTCTCAAAAGAAGACATACAAATGACCAACAAATATATGAAAAAATGTTCAACACCACTAATCAGCAAGGAAATGCTAATCAAAGCCACAGTGAGGCATCATCTTACTCCAGTTAGGATGGCTATTATAGAAGAGACAAAAATAACAAATGCTGACAAAGACGTGAAGAAAAGGGACTTTTTTTTTTGACAGAGTCTCACTCTCTGTCCAGGCTGGAGTGCAGTGATGGTGTAATCTGGCTCCCTCTGCTTCTAGGGTTCAAATAGTTCTCCTCCCTCAGCCTCCTGAGTAGCTGGAGAAAAAGGAACTCTTATGCACTGTTGGTAGGAATGTAAATTAGTGCAGCCAGTATGGAGAACAGTATTGAAACCCCTCAAGCAATCCCACTACTGGGTATTTATCCAAAGGAAAGAAAAGCATTATATTGCAGAGACATCTGCATCCCCATGTTTATTGCAACAGTGTTCACAATAGCCAAGATATGGAATCAACCTAGGTTTCCAACAACAGATGAATGGATTTTTAAAATGTGGTATATGTACACCAAGGAATGCTATTTAGCCATAAAAAAGAATAAATAAAATCCTGTCATTCTCAGCAACATGGATGGAACTGGAGGATATTATGTTAAGCAAAATAAGCCAGGAATAGAAATTTCAACACCACATGTTCTCACTCACGCAGAAGCTAAAAAAAAGTTGATCTCATAGAAGTAAAAAGTAGAACAGAGGATACTGCAGGCTGAAAAGGGTAGCGAGAAAGGAGGAATAGTAAGAGATTTGTTAATGGATACAAAATTACAGCTAGGTAGGAGTAATAAGTTCTAGTGTTCTACAGTACTGTAGATGACTATAGTTAACGATACTATATTATGTAGTTTAAAATACCTAGGAGTAGTTTGAATGTTCCCAACACAAAGAAATAATAAATGTTTGAGATGATAGATATGCTAATTACCCTGATCTGATCACCATCTACATGTACTGAAACATCCCCGTATAGCCATGAATATGTATAATCTTTGTCAATTTAAAAAGTACAAAAAAAAAATTAATTTTGGAGAATGCATTTGAAGAACTTGTACTCAAGAAATCAACTTAAGAACCTGAGTCTCCTTGGAATTTGTGTTTTCTAGACCAGTACTCCAAATTAAAGCAAATTTAGGCTGGGCATCGTGGCCCATGTCTATAATCTCAGCACTTTGGAAGGCCGAGGTGGGCAGATCACTTGAAGTCAGGAGTTCGAGACCAGCTGACCCAACATTGTGAAACCCTGTCTCTACTAAAAATACAAAAATTAGCCGGGAATGATGGCATGTGCCTGTAATCCCAGCTACTTTGGAGGCCGAGGCAAGATAATCGCTTCAACTGGAGAGGTGGAAGTTGCAGTGAGCCGAGATTGCACCACTGCGCTCCAGCCTGGGCAACAGAGCAAGACTATGTCTCAAAAAAAAAAAAAAAGCGAATTTAGTTCACTTTGGTATTGTGTCAAAATGTTGATTCTTTTAAAGTAAATCTAAAGAATTTAGATGTAGTTGAAGCTTGTCATCTGTTCTTGTTTTTTTTTAATAAAAATATAATATTTAGATTCAGAGTAAATCTAAAATGAGACCGGAAGCTGCTCCCAGGTGATACTGATGCTGCTTATTTTTGCCCAGATTTTGAGTCACAAGGTTCTAAATTATTGGTTTGAAGTCCTACATGAGTAATCACTTGGGGAGCTCAATTAACACCCAGCAACAGACTAATTATTAATAAACCAGAATCTTCAGTATTAGGCTTCAATCATTGGCAATTTTTTTTTTTTTTGACACACAGTCTCCCACTGTCACCCAGGCTGAACTCCTGAGGCCAGAATGAGACTAGGACATGGTTCCTTTGCCTAAGTAAAGTGAGGCAGACAATGGAATACTTCAGACTTCAAATTAGTATGGTAAGTGCTATGAAGAGTATGATTAGAGTTCATTATTTACCCAGAAAAGGGTCACTCAGCCCAGCCTGGGAGTTAGAGAAGGTTTCCTGAAGTCTTGACTTGTGAGTCATGAAAGGACATAAGGAGTTAACCACGTGACAAAATAAGCTAAGAGAATTCTCAACAAAAGATAAAATATTGGCAAAGGCTTTTAGGCATACACTAGCTTAGTACTATTGGGAGAATGTAATGATTGTCTGTATTTCAAAAGTGTAAAATACAAAGTGGGCCATGATATGAAATAAACCAGTAAATATGTTCTGGGAACAGATCATAGAAGCGCGTGTATGCTGTCCTAAGGAGCTTGAACTTCAACTTCAGTTCATGGGAGCCAATGACAAGATCTGAGCAGGCGAAGGATGTGGCTAGAGGGGCATTTTAGACAGACAAGATCCTCTGTGGATTACACCTAGGCTAAGCAACGGATTAAAGTTGTTGTCTTAAGACAATAGTCCAGGTAAAAGATAATAAAGTTTTAAATTAGGATGTTAGTAGGAATGAGGAAGAGGGATGGATTTCAGAAATAGTAAGGTAATGTATTAGCAGGACTTGATTAGTGATTGACTTGGGGAAGGAGGGGAAGACAGAGTTCAGGATGACTCCGAGACTGTCTGGTGTCCGTGGCTAATGACTGAAGCTATTAATAGAGGTAGGAAATGCAGACCAAAAGCAGGCCCGGGGTGAGAGATGATAAATTTGAATTTTAACATGTTGAGTTAGGACATCCAGAATGAAATAACCACAAAACATTTAAATATACGAATCTGAAAAGGTAAGCATCATAAGCATATGAGCTATGGGTAAAATTCTGATACTTAATGAAGTCTCGCAGGGAGGCAGTACAGAGGCAAGCAACGGGCTGGGGATAAAACATAAGGAAATATTATTTAAATAAAGATGAAAGAAAAGGAGCCCACAAAGGAAGCTGAAAAGCCATAGTCAAAAAAAGAGGCTTGCCAAAGTGCCACCTTTGAGGCTCCGCTGTTACACTTTATAAGGAAACTTTTGGTTACCTGGGATTGCATGCATTTATAAAAGTTTCTATTATTAGGAAGACAATAATAATGATAAGGCTCTTTCTCATTGTTGTCAGTGTAATTTATCTATTTAATTATAGAACCTAGTTCCAGGATGCTTAGTCTGAAGTATATACTTGGGGCAAAATGAATTATATCTTAATAATAATCTGGAATTTTTCTTTCTAACTTGACATATTTTAATTCTTGCTAGATTTTCAAAACGTCATACCTCGAACCACCACCAGATGGCGATGAGAATGTTACAAATATTGTGCCACCATATAATGCTTTCTCAGGCCAAGGCATGCCAGAGGTAAAATAAAATACATTTGTAACCCAAGTCTTTAAATGGTTCTTTTGCTATATAAAACCTGTATAGAGGACTAAAACCAAGGAAATTAGGTGAATCATTCATGCGGATTCATTGTTTGATATTCAGTACTATGAAAACCTCATCCCTCAAATTTAAAAAATTATAATAAAATAAAAAAGAACACCAGAGAAAAAAGAAACAAAACAAATACATTAAAAACTGACCCTGCTGAAGCAGATGCCACTCTTTGAAATAACAAAGAAACTGCTGAACACGCCTTTAATTCAGTGAGGCAGTAGGGTTTTTTTGTTTGTTTGTTTTTGTTTCGTTTTGTTTTTTTGAGACGGAGTTTCGCTCTTGTCACCCAGGCTGGAGTGTAGTGGCACAATTTGGGCTCACTGCAACCTCCGCCTCCCAGGTCCAAGCAATTCTCTTGCCTCAGCCTCCTGAGTAGCTGGGATAACAGGTGCACACCACCACACCCTGCTAATTTTGTATTTTTTTTAGTGGAGGTGGGGTTTCTCTATGTTGGCCAGGCTAGTCTCAAACTCCCAACCTCAGGTGATCTGCTCACCTCGGCCTCCCAAAGTGCTGGGATTACAGGCGTGAGCCACCACGTTAAAAAGGGAAACTTCCTATTTGCCCTCTAAAGGTTTGCAGAAAATGAATGGACAAAACATAAATTAATAGAAGAAAGAGTAAAAAAAAATCTGTAAAATGTAGGGGAAAAATCACAGGGTCTCACTCAGTTACCCAGCATGAAGTGCAGTGGTGTGATCATGGCTCATTGCAATCTTGAATTCTCAAGCACAAGTGATTCTCCCCACTAAGCCTATGGAGTAGCTGGGATCACAGGGACATGCCACCATGCCCACATACATGGGTATTTGCTGGAGAGGAGATGGAGACTCTCTGTCCTGGATGTGAGACGGGTGGCTGGCATCTGGGTAAGGATGACATTCCCTCATTGCTAAAGAGTAAAAGAGGTAAGTGTCATGCATAGTGCAAGCAGGGACATGCCCTGACTTAGTGAGGTCCAGAGGCTTATATTGTCCTTCATAGGGGAGTGGGAAGAAGCGAGTGTAGGCAACCCAGGGGAAATAAATGACCTAAAATAAAAGAAATAGACCATCAGAAGTGTAGATGTATTAGTCAGGGTTCTCTAGAGTGACAGAATTAAAGGACTATATACATATATATATATGAAGGGGAGTGAGATGGTTAATAATGAGTGTCAACTTGATAGGATTGAGGGATATGAAGTATTGACCCAGGGTGTGTCTGTGAGAGTGTTGCCGAAAGAGATTAACATTTGAGTCAGTGGGCTGGGGAAGGCAGACCCACCCTTAATCTGGTGGGCAAAATCTAATCTGCTGCCAGCAAATATAAAGCAGGCAGAAAAATTTGAAAAGGAGAGACTGGCCTAGCCTCCCAGCCTACATCTTTCTCCCATGCTGGTTTCTTCCTGCCCTCAAACATTGGACTCCATGGCTCTCCTTTCTCATCAGTTTGCAGACAACCCATTGTGTAACTTATGATCCTATAAGTTAATAAACTCCCCTTTATAAATAAATATATATATATGTGTGTGTGTGTGCATATATATATGTATGTATGTGTGTATGTATATATATATATATATCTATATATATATATCTATATATATATATCTATATCTATCTATCTATCTATATATATATATATATATCTCCTGTTAGTTCTGTCCCTCTAGATGTCACTGGCTAATACAGGAAGTTTATTAAGTATTAACTCACACAGTCACCAAGTCTCACAATAGGCCATCTGCTGGATGAGGAGCAAAAAGAGCCAGCCAGGGTTCCAAAACTGAAGAACTTGGAGTCCATGTTCGAGGGCAAGAAGCATCCAGCATGGGAGAAAGATGTAGGCTGGGAGGCGAGGCCTGTCTCTTTTCACATTTTTCTGCCTGCTTATAGTATGGCTGGGTTGGCAGCTGATTGGATTGTGCCCACACAGATTAAGGGTGGGTCTGCCTTTCCCAGCCCACTGACTCACATGTTAATCTTTTTTTTGGCAACACCCTCACAGACACACCCAGGATGAATACTTTACATCCTTCAATCCAATCAAGTTGACACTCATTATTAACCATCACAAGCCCACCCCTTGTGAACTTGAACCCACACACATCTCCTGAGATCATACATAGTCTTAAATTACAGACAATAGTAAGATCATAATTACCCCAACATAATAAACTATCCTTCCTACAACTGGAAATGCACCAATCCCCAACCCAAATACTATTACATACAGTAAACAATACTTAAATACTGATATGAGGTCAGCAAATCGATGTCACCTGATAAAGAAAAGGGAAATGAAATGAAGATATTTTCTTAGTACAAGTGCATACATGCACAAACATGTTTTTAACAAAAGAAGAAGGAAATACTCATGATAGTTCCAGTCCTCATTTCTGCAGCTGGTCAGGTAGTCGTAGCTGGTATTGATAACTACTTTCTTCCACTATTCATTCTGTATTCCCTTTGCCTTCAGCAAGCACCTCAGCAGGTCGTGACCCGGAGAGGATCTGGACCATTTGTAGTCCTACCTGGATTGGGTGTAGTTTCCCATTTACCTTAATCAGAGTGCCTGATAATACCACGAGACGCCCTAATGGATCTCCTATATTCCATGCATACTCTTCCTCACTTCCGTTGTGGAGTGGCGGACTGACTTCATCTTGATAGTCTGGGTCAATCACTGCCGCCAACACTGTAACTCCATTCTTAGCTTGTTGACTTAAAGGTAGGAGGACCCCAAAGCGTCCAAGTGGCCATCTTAACTTCCAGTTTAATGGAATCGTTATTGTGTCTCCTGGTAGCAGCGCTCTTCCCTCTGGAGCTAAGATGACTAGTAAAGCAGAACCTAATGTCGGAACAGAAAGCAAACATTTTGCTAGTGCATCATAGTGAGTGGTTCCACTTTCACATCCACCCCTTGAATCCTGGATCTGTGAATCCTGGCTATGGGAGAAACAATACCATACATTGGGCGCTGATTCAGAGCACACATGGTCTTCTGGAGTATGGTGCCCCGGCCCGGCAAAGTATTGTAACCTAGTTGACGTTGTAATCGCGACCTCAAAAGGCCGTCCCACCATTCTATCAATCCAGCTGCTTCAGGAAGATGGGGAATATGGTAAGACCAGTGAATTCCGTGAGCATGAGCCCACTGCCTCACTTCTTTACCTGTAAAGTGAGTGCTTGGTCAGAGGTAATGCTGTGTGGAATACCGTGATAGTGGATAAGGCATTCCTTGAGTCCATAAATGGTAGTCTTGGCAGAAGCATTGCATGCAGGTAGGCAAACCCATATCCGGAGTAAGTGCCTGTTCCAATGAGGACAAACCTCTCTCCTTTCCATGGTGGAAGAGGTCCAATATAATCAACCTGCCACCGGCTAGCTGGTCGATCACCCGAGTGAATGATGCCATACAAAGGGTTCACTGTTAGTCTCTGCTGCTGCTGGCAAATTGGGCACTCAGCAGTGGCCACAGAGAGTTCAGCCTTGGTGAGTGGATGTCCACAATGCTGAATCCATGCATAGCCTCCATCCCTGACACCATGGCCACTATGTTCATGGGCTCATTGGACAATGACAGGGGTGTCTGAGGAAAGAGGCTGAGTGGTATCCACAGAACGGGTCATCTTATCCACTTGATTATCAAAATCCTCCTCTGCTGAAGTCACTTGTTGGTCAACACTCACACAGGGTACAAATATCTTCAGTTTTTGACCACTCAGAGAGGTCCCTCTACATACTCTTTCTCCAAGTTTCTTTGTCACCAATTTTCCAATCATGCTTCTTCCAAGTCCCTGACCATCCAGCCAAACCATTGGCTACAGCCCATGAATCAGTATATAACCGCACATCTGGAAATATCTCCTTCCATGCAAAGTGCACAATCAGGTGCACTGCTCAATGTTCTGCCCACTGGGAAGATTGTCCTTCACCACTGTCCTTCAGGGATGTCCTAGAAAGGGGCTGTAGTGCTTCAGCCGTCCACTTTTGGGTGGTACCTGCCTATTGTGGAGAACCATCTGTGAACCAGGCCCTAGTCCTCCCTTCCTGTGTCAACTGCTCAAAGGCAAGTCCCCATGAGGTCATCAGTGCTGGCCGTGGGAGAGAAGGCAGGGTGGCAGGAGTAGAGACCATGCGCATTTGAGCCACTTCCTCATGTAACTTACTTGTGCCCCCCAGGACCTGCTTGAGCCCAATCACTTATACACCATTTCCATTTGATGATGGAATGCTGCTGTACATGACCCACTTTATGGCTACATGAGTCAGAAAGCACCCAGTTCACAATAGGCAGTTCAGGTCGCATGGTGACTTGTTGACTCATAGTCAAATGTTCAGTTTCCACAAAAGCCCAGTATAGGACAAGAGCTGTCTCTCAAAAGGAGAGTAGTTAACTGGAGAAGATGACCGGGCCTTGCTGCAAAATACTAGAGGCCTCCACCATGATTCACCTAAGGATGCCTGCCAAAGCCTCAAAGCAGCATTCCTATCTGCCACGGACACCTCAGGGGGACTCAGCCTCCCCTTCATTCAAGGGGTTCTGGGTCTGTAAACTGGCTCAAGGCTGGAAATTGATTGAGGGGCCATGAATCTCTGTTTTTATAACTCCAATTAGTCTTTTATCTGTTTGACCTTAAGTTTCCTCCTTACATAAATTAAGTAGGAATGCATTAGTCTTCCTGTCAGTTTCACTTCTAGGAAAACTGTGATTAGTTAGCCAATGCCAGAGCTCTACATGAGTCAGACTGTTCAGATTGCTGCTTTGTCTTTTCTGCCCATTACCGTAGCTACGCTCACCGTGCCTTTGAGGGTTGAGTGCTAACACTTGGCCCCTGCCACTTCAGGATCCAATTATTCCAAATTGTATTTAACTTTTGTAACTGAGTGACTGCAGTTCTCACCATTAGATCTGACATACAGAGAAGAGCCTTTACAGGGCTCTTCAAAGATGCAGGTGCTGTCCTCACAAATCTATTTTGCAAGGTGTTTGTCAAGGGTATTAGGTACAGAGTCACTAAACTCCTTGCCTCTCAAGAGCGATGATTCATTAGTGTCAAATGAATTTGTTTTGCATAGCTGTTTAAACCTTTCATGCCAAGAACTGTCAATGTTCTCTACACTATTAAAAGTAGAGTCCTTAGCATTTTGGGATCTAATCATATTTAGCAGCCAAATCCAGAAACCCCAAAACCAACAAAAGAACTCCAACCTTAATATTCTGTTCCTGCAGAACCATCCTGGTACCGAAATCTGTATTAGTGAGGGTTCTCTAGAGGGACAAAACTAATAAGTTCAATATATATATATGGGTTTATTACATATTAACTTACAGGATCACAAGGTCCCACAGCAGGCTGTCTGCAGGCATGAGGAGTGAGGAGTAAGGAAAGCCAGCTCCAGTCTCAAAACTAAAGAACTTGGAGTCCGATGTTCAAGGGTAGGAAGCATCCAGGACGGGAGAGAGATGTAGGCTTGGAGGCTGGGCCAGACTCACTTTTTCACTTTTTTCTGCCTGCTTTATATTCACTGGCAGCTGGTTAAATGGTGCCCATAGATTAAGTAGGGGGTCTGCCTTCCCCAGACTACTGACTCAAATATTAATCTCCTTGGACAACACCCTCACAGACACACCCAGGAGCAATGCTTACATCCTTCAATGTAATCAAGTTGACAATCAGTATTAACTATCACAGGATTACAGACCTGAGCCATCACACACAGTGTTATTGTATATTTCATACAATTTCCTGATTTTCCCATTTTATCTGTGACTTAAGATAAGTTTTTCAGCTATGACCCCAAACTGATAGTACTTGAAAGCACATTCAAATGTATTTTGCAACAATTCATAACTGGCAAAATGTTGAGCCTTGTGGAAAGAGTCACCTTACTTCCCCGTCAGCTGTCAATTCCCCATCATTACTATCACTTCTGGGAGCACATTTTCCAAAACTCCTTTTCTCTCTATGGTTTCTTCAGAGTTGCTCCATGAGGTCACAATAAGTTACAACTAATTACTGTCATGAGATTGGGAAGTCAGAGTGGTGGATTCATGTACACTGACACCTGAAGTAAAACACATGCAGTTAGGTGTGGACTGGAGAATCACCTGGAGATGTGCTGCAGGCAGCTGAGAGCATCAGCACCCCCAGCCCTGGGCTTCCCAGACAGGACCGAGGATCATCACACAGTGTTCAGCACATACCACCAGGTGCAGGTGCACCATGGCTTCTGAAGTAGCACCTGAGAATCCCCTGTGTCTAGTACCTACTTCATGAATAACACTCCACAGGCTTCGGAAAGACTGTGGTTTAGACTCTAATTTATTCAACTTGAATAATTTCTCCTTGAAATACTGAGAATAGCTTCTCTTTTGCTGTACAAATTCCGATTATCCCATAACACAGACTCCTCAGCTGGACTTATCTCTCTTCTTTATTCAGTCAGGACAGGCATTGTCACGTCTTTTCTGCTGGGGATGAGGGCGAAAGAGGCTTAGGGTTCAGAGGAACCTCCTGACCTCCTCTAGGAAAATCTCCCAATGACTTTCCAAACCTGACTGAGTTTGAGAACTTCCCTCAGCAGATAGAGGCACCAGAAAGAGCATTGGGGCAGCCCAGCCTCACACATCTGCTTCCTTGGGGTTTATGTTATGACTTGTAACACTGTGGGAGAGGTACTGTCACTCTGTTGACAGTAATAAGTTGCAAAATCTTCAGGCTGCAGGCTGCTGATGGTGAGAGTGTAATCTGTCCCAGATCCACTGTCACTGAACCGAGAGGGAATCCCACTTTGCAGACTGGATGCAGCATAGATCAGGAGCTTAGGAGTTTTCCCTGGTTTCTGCTGATACCAATTTAAATTATTGCTAATGCCCTGACTCGCCCGGCAAGTGATGGTGACTCTGTCTCCTACAGATGCAGACAGGGAGGATGGAGACTGGGTCATCTGGATGTCACATCTGGCACCTGAAGTTGGAAACATAAAAACAAATATTCTTGCAATTAATCATGTTATCAGAGGACTTCCCTGAAGTTCCAGACAGTACTGAGCACACTGACCGAGTATAATCCTAGTGTTCTCCTTCCTTACCTGGCAGCCAGAGCACCAGGAGCCCCAGGAGCTGAGTGGGGGCCCTCACTTCTGTGCTGTGTCCTGACTGGGGCTGACTCCTGCACCGGGTGTGAACAGCCTATAAAAATTCTTCAGGGCAGGGGGCTGTGCTCTAGGAACAGGCAAATCAGCAGGGGATGGGGCAGGCTGAGCACAGCTGCAGGGCTGGCTCATCTCAGTAACTCAGCACACGGGCGCAGTATCCCCAGAGTCCCAGGTCAGACCAGGGCAGCACAGATTTACCTTGAAAGAATACATTTCTCATTGGTGGCCATATGGTTACAGAACATATTTTTGGAGTGAATTTTCAAAATTTTAAATCAACCTAAGACTAGATTAAATAATATATTTATACTTGTATTAGGAGTGTATAGGAAAGCATCCTTTTTGGCAGAAAATTTACAATAAAGTAGTAGAATGTAGGGCTGTCAGAAATTTCAGTTAGTCTCAAAGGAATTTGATGAGTGTAAAAGTATTTAGTGCTATAATAACAATGTCTCTGTCGGTGTGAAATTGCTTCTTTTTTGAAATGAATATAAAAAGAATTTATCAGCAGCATCTTTAATAAATTAAATAGAATTTACTAACAAACTTAAGACATTGTTCCTAGGAGTAAAAGGAAAAACAATTCTCTGAAGATGCACAAAGATGATAACTGTGTCAGGCATAGATCTGCCATTATCCAGAGCTATGGGTCTCTTTAAGACCCAGGGGCTAAATGGGCTGCACCTTATTCTTGGCGTGATGATCCCCATATTCTATCTATCCCCTTTCCTGCCTTTGGTATAATTTCTTATGGTTCTCCAGCATGGAGAGCTGACTAGTAATACCAGGTGTCATTATTTCAACTAAAATCTCTGTTTCACTCGCTGACTATAGGAGCCTGGATTAAAATCAACTTGAAGCCCTCTATCAATCTAGGCTCAGATAGTCAATTGTTTCAAAGTAGGATGACAAAAGCCACATCCCCTGAGTAATGCTCTCAGCTGCGCTCCCCACCAGACTGTTCTTGGAGTCTCAGGAGCATCTGCCCTAGAGTCTGGCTTTCTGGAGAGCAGGTGAGGGGTGAAAAGCCAGGTCAGTGAACCTCTCTCCTTAGTGAGGGCAGCTGCTGCCCAATGCATGTTCTTGCCATGCACCAGGGCATCATCCTGACCCAGATGCCAGCCACCCTGTCTCACATCCATTTAGAGAGAATCTCCATCTTCTGCCAAGACACTGCCCATGTAGATGAAAAAGTATTTTGCATCCAAACATATCTTAAGCACTGATTTGAACCTCAATACTTCACACAGATGCCTTTGTCCAGGGCATGTTGGCCTGGCTCAACAGCAGGGGAAGTGGAGCCAATTACATCAGTGTCAGTGGACTGAGAAATACTCCAGGGAGTAGTTCTCATGCACGACTACCAGTGGCCAGACCAAGGTAGTGCAGCCTGTGCACAAACCTCCTGCTGCTTTTCCAGAGGACTGGATTTCTGGGAAATGGCTACTGAACAGGCTGCCAGGATCCATATATCCAGATTCAGAGAGATACATCTCTGGATTCAAATGCGCTTTTTCTTTGTGCATAATTTTAGCAGTCATTGTTACTACGCCTTGGGGATTCTAGTCATTATACTTCAGCTGACTCTCTATGGCCCTTTCTCCCCTTCACTGCTCTATCTGAACCTGGGGAAGCAGCTCAGGCTGCAAATGAGGCAGACCTCATGGCCTGGAATTAGCATCCCCTAGGACGGCTGTCAATCAGTGATGACAAGGGAGGTGTACACATCCCCCAGCTCCCTCACCTCTCAGGTGGAATAACAGAGGCATTTTTCCTGTGTTTCTATGTGGGCTTGAGCTCTCGTCATCCTCAGAGGTGGCTCCTTCTGAGGCACCTTTCACTTTCCCTTTCCCTCCTCCCCTCCCTTGCTCACTTGCTTGTTTCCCGCACTTTGTAAATATACTGTCTGCATGCGAATCTTTGGCATCCTTCTCACTGAGGGGACCCAACCTAATGCATTGGAAAAATCCTTATTCTTGGAGGGCATCGTTGGTTTGAATTATTGCCACTTCTCATGTTTTAATGCCTAGGGAAATTCCAAAAATTTAGGAAATGTTTAAATTCCCTTTGCCAATCTTTCTTAGATTTGATTTTAGCAGAGATTCATTTTCTCTAGGTCACAAAATCACAGAAGCCTTCCACAAATGGCTACACAACATAGAGTCCACATAGAGCAGAGACTCAGAATCTCCCAGGATTTGACATCCACACATCAGACAGTCCTAGAGTCTCAGGTTTTTTCTAGGTCGATCGCCTCATAAATCTGCCTTGTGATATTTTTATTCTACCTTAGGGGAAGACCATTGTGTGGATGATGAGAGTTGTTTGTGGAATGAATAATACACCCACTAAAGACATCATTGTCCTAATATCTGGAATCTATGATCGTTACTTATGAATATGTCAAAAATAAGTCGGCAGACATGGTTGAGAATTTTGGGGTCAGGAGAGTATCCTGAATTATCTGGGTGAGACCATCATAATCACAAGGGTCCTTACAATAGGGAGGGAGGAAGGTAACAGCCAGAGAGGACCTGGGACAATGGACAGGGAAACTGGAGTGGTGGAGGAACGGGCCAGGCTGCTAGGAATGTGGGAACATCAGAAAGACGGAATGCTCAATATTGGATTCTCTCTCTTGAAGCCTAGACTGAATAGAGCCCTATTACTCCTTGATTTTACTTCATTGAGACTTCTGACCTCCAGAAATGTAAGATAATACACTTGTGTTATGTGGAGCAGTAAGGTTGTGGTAATTTGTTACAGCAGCAACAGGAAACCAATGCAAGGGGAAGGGGTGTGTTTTACTTCCCTAGTGTATCACTGTCTTCTGTTCTCCCAAATAGTTCCGTGTTTTTGTGTTTGCTGTCAATCTCAACAAGAGACAGAAAATATTTTTCTATGAGGAGAGCTAGCACCACAATTCTTCTTATGTAGAGTGTCTTGAGTAATTCTCTGGGTTAGGTCTTGTACAATCTTAGTATCTGAGAGCCTGGAGGTCATCCCTCACAGCACATGAGAAGAGGAAGGGGATGCGGGTTTGCTGTTTTAACATTTGTGAGGCAAATTAGATGTACAAGACTCATTCTTTTTTTTATTATTATTATTGTTCTTTAAGTTCTAGGGTACATGTGCACAACGTGCAGGTTTGTTACATATGTATACATGTGCCATGTTGGTGTGCTGCACCCATTAACTCGTCATTTACATAAGGTATACCTCCTAATGCTATCCCTCCCCCCTCCCCCCACCCCACGACAGGCCCTGGTGTGTGATGTTCCCCTTCCTGTGTCCATATGTTCTCATTGTTCAATTCCCACCTGTGAGTGAGAACATGCAGTGATTGGTTTTTTTGTCCTTGCGATAGTTTGCTGAGAATGATGGTTTCCAGCTTCATCCATGCCCCTACAAAGGACATGAACTCATCCATTTTTATGGCTGCAAGCGAGGACTGAGTCAGAGAGATGGGGATGGCAGAGGAGAGAAAATGTGATCAGGGCCGTGTAAGATGTGACCCTGCTGCCATATCTGAAAGAAAGGCTGTTGGTGTTTGTAAAGGCTTTGGGCAAATTGTGCTTTGTAGACAAAACTGTAGAAGGGTCTGGGTTTAAGCTTAGTGTCAGCGTGATGAGGACTAGAGGTCGCAGTGAGCTTGTGTTAAGAAATCCAACCTGCACTTCTGGCTTTGTCTCTTTTCTGGTTTTATAGGTGGTGGGTTCCTCTATGGAATGAACGTGGCTCTGTGGAAGGAACATAGTTAAGGTCAGACAGACCTAGATTCCAAGTTCAGCTTCAACAACTGCTGACCAAGTGACTTTTATGCAAATCAGCCATGTGCTGTCATGAACAGTTTCCTCATGTGTGAAATGGAGCACTGGGGATGTGAAGGGGTGTCCTGAGGGTTCCGCCAGCTGATGCACCATGAAGTGTACATACATGTATAGACAGACACACACACATACATGAGAAGAGTATCTAGTGCCCCTTTTATGCATTCTGGAGTAACTCAGAATGTTATGTGAGATATTAACAGTCATATGTCATTTTCAACTAAAATTATCAATATTTATCTTATAACTAACAGATGCTTCTCTGTACACTGTAGGTTTCATGTACATTGCTTCAATCACAAAATTTTTCACTGATCTATTTATGTCTAGTATCAGAAAGTTAAGCAAGGAGATTGCAAACCAACACAACACCTTTAGTCTGGATTTTCCCGGAGCCCCATTTTTGTTAGTGTCCTTGGGCTACTGTAACAAGTTCTCAAAAATGTGGTAGCTTCAAACAACAGGAATGGAATCTCTCATAGTTCAGAAGTCCAGATCAGTTTCACTGGGCTAAGATCTTGGAGTCATCAGTTCTGGCTCCTTCTGAAGCTCTAGGGAGCAGTCTGATTTAGCTCTTCCAGCTTCTGGTGGCTTCTCTCTCCCGGGATGTGGACACATCACTGCAATCTCTGTCTCTGTGTTCACATTGCCTTCTCCACTTCAGTCTATGCTAAATGTGTCTCTACCTCTTGTTTTTTTTAGGACACTTGAGTTTGCATTTAAGTCCCAGTTGATTAATCTAAGACCATCTCCCTGTTTCAAGCTCCTTAATTTACACCTGCAAAAGCTGTTTTCCCAAATGAGATACATGCGTAGTCTTCTTGGAATGAAACCTCACTATTTGGGGATGATACTCAGTACTACACCATTACATAACCAGGTCTCAGTGTTAGTCCTGTACATACATCACAATCTCTCTCTCTCTCTCTCTCTCTCTCTCTCTCTCTCTCTCTCTCTCCACACACCCTGGCTTCCTAGTTTTCTCAATGTCATAAATCTCTTCAATTCCTTAAGTGTATCCAGTGATACCTATAAACAAATAAGTATCTGAGAAAAGTCTCAATCAGTTTAGAAATTTATTTTGTCAAAGTTAAAGAAATATCAGTGAAACAGCCTCAGGAGGTCTTGAGAAAGTGTGTCAAAGGTCGTTGGGCTACAGGTTGATTTTACACGTTTTCGGGAGACATAAGATATCAATCAATACGTGTAAGCTGTACATTGCTTTGATATGGAAAGACAGGACAGCCCAAAGGAGGGGGGATGTTGGGGACTTCCAGGTCATAGTTGGATTCAAAGATTTCATAGGTGGTTGAAATAGTTTATTTAATGACCTGTAATCAACACAAGGGAGTTTCTGGGTTTAGAAAAAGGGTTTTGGAGCCAAGATTGCATCATGCAGATGAAGCCTCCAGGTAGCAGGCTTCAGAGAGAATAGATTGTAATTGTTTCTTAGTAGACTTAAAAGGTGCCAAACTCTTAGTTAAATCTCTCTGGGTCAGGAAAGAGACTTAAAAAGGAATCTCTACAGAATGTAGATTTTTCCCACAAGAACCAGCTTTGCAGAGGCATTTTTAAATACATTAAATAACAATATCTTGGGGAAAATACTTTGATTTCTCTTAGGACGTGGTATCTGTCACATTGGTATCTTATTGGTATAAAGAGTTTTCTTTGTCAGTCTCAAGGTCTCTGTCTTCATATTAAAAGCTGGTCAGTTGTGCCTGAATTTTAAAGGGAAGAGGGTAAGTTAAGGCATATCCAATCATCCATTCCGATCATGGACTGCATTGTATTTCAAGTTGATTTTGGTGTGTCCTTGGCTGAGAGGAGGAGTTCATTCAGTTGGTTAGGGAGCTTAGAGTTTCATTTTTGGTTTACGCACCTATGTCCAGGTAAGAGGGCCCCACACAGGAGGGCTTGCTCAGAAACTGGCTTGCAGGGCTGCTTACAGACCTTCTATGTCTCCTGTTGTCATGCACAAGGAAGGACACAGACAATGACAACCCTCAGCCATCCGGGGAGAAGTTGTGTCTGCAGAGGACGGTCATGAGCTGTGAGTCTAGAGACCTGTGATTGTCTTCAGGGGCCTGTGGTCCTCGGCTTTCATAGGAGTTGTGGGGGCACTGGCTCAAATAGCATCCACCAGGATTCCAATCAGAATATCTCATTCACAGAAGGCAGTGGGTGATATGACAGCACAGAGGGACTCTGTGGGGCCAGCTGCATGGAGCACTCTGGGAGAGTCACTGGCACCCGTGCTAGACAGAGCTTCTTTCAACTTCTGGAGCACACGGATTTAGATCTCTTTACATCATTTTGAAAGACTATTTATCATTCTGAAGGAAACCACTGTAATTAACTAAGGTAACATCTTTAATAGGTAGAAAGAAAAAAGTGATTATTTTATTGCCAAGATGATTACAAGAAAAGAAACACACAAAAATAGCATGAAGGAAAGAGCAACCCTAGACTGACGACTTTGGGTAAGAGGTTGAGACTTAGTAGTGAATGCCCTGGGCCATCTTCTGTCAAAAGGGAGGGACAATCAGCAAAGGGAAATACGCAGTAGAGGCAAAATCTTGGTTAGTAAAAGAATCCTAAGAGAAAACAAGAAGTCTCCTTCCTCAGCATCATGTTGGTGTCAGGAAGATGCACATAATCCCCCCATTGCATGTCTTACACTTTTCAGCAATTAGGGCTCAGCATGAATTTAGAAGACACCATTCACTTCACAGCAGATGGGGACACAGTCAAGGCAGCGGTGAGAGGCAAGGCTGGGCTTTCAGTCTCAGAGCACAGAGCAGGTTCCCCACTACTCTGCACCCTGCTGTCTCCTCCCAGATGTTCCAGATGTTCCACCTCATTCTTGCCTTAAGGGCTCCAAGTTGTTAATGGGACAGTAGCCCTCTTCCTTTCCCAGGGTTTCTAAGAATTTGGCTCTCTTTTGTGTATTGTGGGGTTTGTTTGCCATCTAGAGGCAGGATTTTGGCATAGCAACTTACAGGCTTTTTCTACTTGTGATAGCGAAAATAAATACATAAATAAATTCAGTCAAATAAATTGACTTAATGCATTGAATCTGTAAAAAAAAAATAAGGTCAGTTTGAGAGCTTAAAAGGAGCCTGATGAGGTTAAAAAGAAAATTACCTTTAGTAAAGAACAGTTGGAGCAATAGATGATTCTTTCTTTAATCAATGACATTTTAGGAGTAATTATAAAATGGTAAATAAAACTTGAAATAAGCTGATAAAATATAATTTTATATGCAAAAAAAATTTCCAAGAACCATACAAATACATTTTCAGATTAAAACAAACAAAAAATGTGGGTTTATCATCAGATCCGCTAAATGGAAGATTTCTCAAATGTGTGCTTGGAGCAAAAATAACACTTATTCCTATTTGAAAGTTCAAGATTTTTGAGCTTTAGAAGAAAATAGCTTTCCCTTCACTCTGTTCCACTCATGCTTCTGAGGATGGCCTTGGGACAAAAAGCCGCTGCGGCAGGGGTCAAAAAGCCGCGACGGCGGGGGGGCAAAAAGCCGTGGCGGCGGGGGGCAAAAAGCCGCGGCGGCGGGGGGCAAAAAACCGCAGTGGGGAAAAAGCCGCGGCGGCGGGGGGGTCAAAAAGCCGCGGCGGGCAAAAAGCCGGGGCAGCGGGGGGCGGCAAAAAGCCGCGACGTCGGGGGGCAAAAAGCCTTGGCGGCGGGGGTGCAAAAAGCCGCGGGGGGCAAAAAATCGCGGCAGCGGGGGGGCAAAAAGCCGTGGCAGCGAGGGGCAAAAAGCCGTGGCGGGCAAAAAGCCGCGGCAGTCGGGGGCAAAAAGCCGCGGCAGGCAAATAACCGCGGCACCGGGGGGTGGGGGCAAAAAGCCGCGGTGGCAGGGGGGCAACAAGCCGCGACCGGCAAAAAGCCGCGGCGGCGGGGGTCAAAAAGCCGCGGCGGCGGGCGGCAAAAAGCCGCAACGTCGGGGGGCAAAAAGCCGCGGCAGTGGGGGTGCAAAAAGCCGCGGCGGGCAAAAAGTCGCGGCGGCGGGGGGCAAAATGCCGCGGCGGCGGGGGGCAAAAAACCGCAGTGGGGAAAAAGCCGCGGCGGCGGGGGGGTCAAAAAGCCGCGGCGGGGCGGGGGGCAAAAAGCCGCGGCCGGCAAAAAGCCGGGGCAGCGGGGGGCGGCAAAAAGCCGCGACGTCGGGGGGCAAAAAGCCGCGGCGGCGGGGGTGCAAAAAGCCGCGGCGGCGGGGGTGCAAAAAGCCGCGGTGGGCAAAAAGTTGCGGCGGCGGGGGGGGTGCAAAAAGTCGCGACAGCGAGGGGCGAAAAGCCGCGGCGGGTAAAAAGCCGCAGAGGCAAAAAGCCGGGGCGGCAGGGGGGCAAAAAGCCGCTGCCAGCAAAAAGCCGCGGCGGCGGGGGGGACAAAAAGCCGCGGCGGACAAAAAGCAGCGACGTCCGGGGGCAAAAAGCCGCGGCGGCGGGGGGCAAAATGCCGCGGTGGGCAAAAAGCCGCGGCGGGGGGCAAAAAGCCGCGGCGGGCATAAACCTGCGGCGGCGGTGGGGCAAAAAGCCGCGGCGGGGAAAAAGCCGCGGCGGCAGGGGGGCAAAAAGCCACGGCGCCGGGGGGGCAAAAACCCGGGGCGGGGAACAACTCGCGGCGGCCGGGGGACAAACAGCCGGGGCGGGCAAAAAGCCGCAATGCCAGGGTGTCAAAAAGTCGCGGCGGGCAAAAAGCCGCAGCGGCGGGGGTGCAAAAAGCCGCGGCGGCGGGGGTGCAAAAAGCCGCGGCGGCGGGGGTGCAAAAAGCCGCGGCGGCGGGGGTGCAAAAAGCTGCGGCGGGTAAATAACCGCGGCACGTGGGGGGGGGGGTGGTAAAAAGCCGCGGCGGCGGGGACGCAAAAAGCCGCGGCGGGCAAAACGCCGAGGAGCGGTGGGGGCAAAAAGCCGCGGCGGCGGTGGGGCAAAAAGCCGCGGCGGCGGGGGGGCAAAAAGCCGCGGCGGCGGGGGGGCAAAAAGCCGCGGCGGCGGGCGGTAAAAAGCCGCGGCGGTGGGGGCTAAAAAGCCGCGGTGGGGAAAAAGCCGCGGCGGCGGGGGGGGGCAAAAAGCCGCGGCGGGCAAAAAGCGACGTCGGGGGGCAAAAAGCCGCGGCGGCGGGGGTGCAAAAAGTCGTGGTGGCGGGGGTGCAAAAAGCTGCGGCGGGTAAATAACCGCGGCACGTGGGGGGGGGTGGTAAAAAGCCGCGGCGGCGGGGACGCAAAAAGCCGCGGCGGGCAAAACGCCGAGGAGCGGTGGGGGCAAAAAGCCGCGGCGGCGGGTGGGCAAAAAGCCGCGGCGACGGGCGGTAAAAAGCCGCGGTGGGGAAAAAGCCGCGGCGGCGGGGCAGCAAAAAGCCGCGGCGGCGGGGCAGCAAAAAGCCACGGTGGCGGGTGGCAAAATGCCGCGGCGACGGGGGGCGAAAAGTCTCAGAGAGTAAAAAGCCGGGGAGGGGCGGGGGGGGGGGGTGCAAAAAGCCGCGGCGGCGGAGGGCAAAATAGTGGAGATGGGGTAGAAGGCCGGCACAGCTTGGCATTGCTGGAGTGTGATGTGATAGGAAATGTGCAGCCAAAGACAAAAAAAGATGTAAGTAGGCTTGACTCATTGCAGCCAAGAACCCAGATGTTGCCTTGAGGGTATTAACTAATAAGCAGTTTAAATCAGAATGGCACATTCTGATTTGTTTTTTGTATGTTCACATTTGGCAGGCATAGATACTGTTTGAAGAGAGAAAAGTCAGTAGATAGAGGTAACAAAAATATGTGCCAAATCTAGAAACAAGAGACCAGGGGGATAAGAACCTTTCAAAATAAAATGCAAGATTTGAAAACTGATTGGCTGGGGGATGAGGAAAAGGCAGGTCTTTAAGGTCAATCCCTGTTTTGCTTTAAGTTGTTAGGGGGTGGTTTTATCACATATTGTAGAATATGTCATTTCAGTTTTGAACATCTTGAGTTAAATTGTCCTAACATATCTTATGAATTTGATTTTCTTCCCTGGGAAGCTAATATTTCAAAAACTTAAAGAGTATATAGATTTCCAACTTGTATCCAATTTATAAAACTGTCTCTAGGCTGCTGATTTCAGGAGGAGGCTCATGAATATTCTCTTTGCAGAGAATATATCAGGAGTTAACAACAGCTTCAATATTTGTGGACAACCAGTTAACTAAGCCACCTCTTAGTGTATTTAGATGGGAAATCTTAGCTGAAGATATTCAATAATGAACCAACAGTGACTAAAAAATTCAATATTTAAGTATATTTCATTGTAATTAATTTGAATTGAAGTAGCCACACACAGCTAGTATTTACTACATTGAACAATGCAAATAAGAGGAAAAAGTTAATAACCATCTCTAATACCACATGCCAAAATCCTCATCAATTTTTTCTAGCTAAAGAAGTTGATCAGAAGCAGCAGTTGAAAGCACCAACTAAACCAGCTGGGGTTAGTTCACTGTCATTCTCTCAGAACCATCTCTTCTCTGAATAAAACAAGTACAAGAGTTCACTGTGAATCTCCATTCTCCTTGCCTATTTTAAGGTTTTGATGTTGACACTAATTTGTGAAATCCCTCCTGTGGTGTGATATTTCGTTTTCCTTGCTTTCTGTTAGGACAAGAATGCTTCAGCTCTTAATTTAAAATTATGTTTCTCCCTCCTATGTTGAGTGAACTTAGAATGCATTCTCTGACATATCCAAGTTTTTGTTAATATGAGTTTGGGGAAAAAAGCATACTTAATTAGCTAAGACTTCTTATTCTAGGCTTGACCCTGTGTTCGACATCTATTGAATTTGTAGTTGCATGGGCTGCTCTCTGACACTGGTTACTGACCTGGAAGCTCTATTAATGTTAGGGGAGGTGGTGTATGAGCATTAGAGGTATCCTTGCAAGGAAAGACTTGTCTTATCTCAATACGTCTTTTTTTTGCACACAAGAAAGTCAATGTCTGAGTCTTCTAAAATCTTCCTATTTCCAAATTGCAGATTATGATTGATTCCTAAACAAATACCTAATTTTTGACTCAGAGACGTGGCAAGGTAGTGAATCACCATTATAATTTAACAATCTTCAAGATAAAATTATCTCTCTGATACTTAGATTTTGCCCAATTATTAAGATATTTGGGTGTTTCATTAAGAATGGAAGACTCTAGTGTCTTGAGCAGAGACTATAAAGGCCTCAGATGATCATTTTTTATTTTATGCTTTTTTCTTTAACACCTTCAACACAGTTGGAAGCAGCTGATATTCCCCAGAGTTGTTGTGTTTTTTAAACCAAATGCATGGTTCAGTGGTAGAAAACTGGGCTGACCCAAGCTGTTTTCAGTAAACATTTCAGGTGACCTATTTCATATTAAATAATCTCTAGATCCTGTCTTCGAAACTAACTAGATCAGGTAACCTACCCTGGATTTTCTCCTTTTAGTGTCTGTGAGCTGCAGTCACTTTTGTGAAAATGATTGCAGTGACAAGATAGAGTTGTAGATAGGGAAAATGTTTTGACTAATTTAAGCATAGTGGTATTTCATATGAGAATTTAAGTTACACACGTTTGAAAATTATATTGGAGTCTCTTTGCTGAGCTTTAAAAAAAATAGCGTTTAGGCTAAACAGGGAACTGCTACCTCTCCTAAAATCAGAAAGATGTTACAGTAATTCTCCATTCTCTAGATTATCAGGAAGCACCTTTGTGATTATTTACTTTTGTTCTTGGGAGTGTGAGCCCGTGTAGTCGTGGAACCATCAATTAGAATGGTGGCTTTCTGATCCCAAAGTCATTCGTTCTGAAAACAATATTTTTCATAAATTTGAAAGTGAGAAGTCTTGATCTTGCCATTCCCAAGTAACTCTCTTAATAAGAGGCATCAGCATGCTTCAGTGACAGCTGTCACTTTCCAGTGCTCAGAGTCATCTTTGAGTTCTCCATTTCATTCCCTACACTCCAATTTAGCTGCAGTTCTCTTGGCCAGTCCTATGAAATACATCCATGGCCTAACGACTTCTCACCACTAATACCACTCATCCTGACAGCATTCTCACCTAAGTCACTGCCTTTTTTCTCTGGATTACAATAGCCTCCTAATTTATTTGCTCACATAACCTATTTATTCTACACGGTGCACCAGATACACCCCTTTGAAATGCAAACACGATCATGTTATTCTCTGCTGAAATTATCTCATATATTCCTATTGCATTTAAAATTAATTCAGAATAATCCCATGATTATCAAAACCCTACATGCTCTTCCACAACATGGTTTACTTCCAAGATATCTCTTCAACTTTTTTTTCACTGTACTGAATTGGTGACTAATAATCATATTTTTGTTTTTGCTCAAAAAGTCTTGACTTGTAAATTTTTCAGTTTCTCCTTTATCCACAGGTAACTCTTTCCTCGTAAGGCGAATTGCTTGCTTCCTTGATTTCTGCTCTCAAAGATACCCTTTATTTTCTACCTAATATTAATAACTTTAATCATTCATTATTCCATTACTATGCTCTATAGTGTATACAATTTCTGTTCTTTGTCATGTTATTAACTAAATTATTTATTTGGTCCAGTAACGTATTCCATAAATATTGCACACATAAAAATTATGTTATTTTTATTGCTGTATGCTCAGCTGCCCAATAACAGTCTGAGGATTAACATATTTGTTAAATGCACAAATACATTCTTTCACAAATGTCAGCTTAATAATTTTATATTAAACTCCCTCTATACTTACAATATGAATTAGATAATTCAGAATAAACACTCCATTGGAAAAAACTAAACAATTTGTTATAAAACATCCTTAAAAGCATCAGAAAGTTAACACAGCAATGAAGAATTACAGGACCAAATTAAGAATGGTATGGAAGCCTGTTTATGAGGCTTATGTTTGGGTTATCTCTTTACTTAGAGTGACTATAAATCTCAAAAAAGAACTAAAGGCAGAAATAACCATATCAACTCACATGGTAAGGGTATTTAAACATCTCTTCGTAATTGAGATAATTGAAAGAAAAGAGAAAGGGAGAAAGAGAAACAGAGCAAAAGGGATAATGAAGGAGAGACAGAAGAAGAGAAAGGAAGAGGAAGAAAAGTAAAAAGGAGGAGGAGGGGGAGGGAGGAAGAAAGAAAGGTGAAAAGAAAGAATGCTAAAGTTTTCAACAACATAATTTATCCTTTTAGAATATGAATGTTGATCTATTTGATGATGTCCCACAGATTCATTAGTCTCTGCTCATTTTTTATCTGTTTCTGAGAGTCAATATTTTCCATTTTCTCATCTTCAAGCTCATGTCTTCTTCTGTGTGTGCAAATATACTCTTAAATCCCTCTGGTGATTTTTAAATTTTTATCGTTGTAGTTTTCCGCTCCAGAATTTGTTATCTCTGTTGATATTCCTACTTTTTAATATTTGTTCTGATTCCTTGATTTCTTTGTTTATGTTTTCCTTTTGACATTTGAGTATAATGAAGAGAGTTGTTTTAAAGTCTTTGTCTAGTAAGTTTGATGTCTGGGTTTCCTTAGAGATATTCTCTGTCAATTTGTTTTTTTTCTTTGAATGAGCCATACTTTCCCATTCTTTGTATGCCTTGTAACTTTTTTTGAAAACTGGACATTATAATAATTACAATTACTATGTGGTTACTCTGTAAATCAGAACCCCCCCTACAAACACAGTAATGTTTTGTGGTTTTAAATTTTCTTTTCTTATTATATTGTTAAGGATTTTTTTTAGTGAAATTTTCCAAAGTGATTTACAAAACTGTTTGCTTTATAAGGTGTGGTCACCAAAGGCTTTTTGTTTCCTTAACAAATGTTAAGCTAATGTTTTGACAGTGATTTTCTTGTATGTCAGGAACTAAGAAAACAGGCAAATACAACAAAAACAAAGAAAAACAAGTAATCATTATCCAGCAAAATATGTCTCTAGGCCATGCAGACTAGCTTTGTGCTGGGTTCTTTAAAGCCGCCACAAAGTGTGCGTTCACTCTTGCACTGAGTGAAGTTCAAGTTCACTCTTGCACAGAGCTTGCACTGAGGGGAGGGATCGGCCAAGGTAAAAGTGTAGGGTCTTCTTATGACATTTTTCAGCATATGGCTTAACCTATGCATACATGTGACTTTCTAGACTCTCCCATGTACGTGAATGATTTTGAATGTCTTAGTTTTCCAAATACTCTTCTCCAACTTTTCTTCCTGTGCTGAAGGTGATCTACTATATGTGTAAACTCTAATTTTTGCCCTAAGCATCCGTGGTTTGTTAGGTCTCCTTGCAGAGTTTCTTAAAAATGTCCATTCCTTATATGTTCTTTATTCTAGCAACACAGAAAAAAACAGCCTTTCATGAGTCCTTTAGATATCCCCCAGACCTGTCTGAACAGACACTCGAATCCATTCGATGATTCCACTCGATTCCATTTGATGATGATTCCATTCGACTCCATTCGATTCCATTCGATTCCATTTGATGATGATTGCATTCGATTCCATTCGATGACGATTCCATTCGATGATTGCATTCGATTCCATTTGATGATTCAATTCGATTCCATTCGATGATTATTCCGTTCGATTCCATGTGATGATTCCATTTGATGCCATGCGATGATGATTCCATTTGATTCCATTCCATGATTCCATTCGATTCCATTCGATGATGATTCCATTTGATTCCATTCGATGATTCCATTCAATTCCATTCTGATTTCATTCAATTCCATTCAATGATTATTCCATTCAATTCCTTTCAATGATTCCATTCAATTACATTCAATGATGATTCCATTCGATTCCATTCGATGATGATTGCGTTCGATTCCATTCGATGATTCTTTTCGATTTCATTCGATGATGATTCCATTCGATGACTCTATTTGATTTCATTCGATGATGGTTCCATTTGATTCAATTCGATTTGTTCCATTCAATTCCATTCGATGTTTCCTTTCAATACCATTCGATGATGATTCCATTCGATTCCACGTGATGATGATTCCATTCGATTCCATGAAATGATGATTCCATTCGATTCAATTCCATGATTCCATTCGATTCCATTCGATGATGATTCCATTCGATTCTATTCGATGATTCCATTTGATTCCATTGGATTATTCCTTTTGATGATGACACCATTCGATTCCATTCGATGATTCCATTTGATTCCATTCGATGATCCCATTCGATGATTATTCTATTCGATTCCATTGGATGATTCCATTCAATTCCAGTTGATTATTCCATTCAATTTCATTCGGTGATGATTCCATTCGAGTTCATTCGATGATTACATTTGATTCCATTCGATGATTCCATTCGATTCCATTCAACGATGATTCCATTTGATTCTATTGGAAGAAGATTCCATTCTATGATGATTCCATTTGATTCAATTCGATGATGATTCCATTCGATTCCATTCAATGATTCCATTCAATTCCGTTCGATGATGATTCCATTCAATTCCATTTGATGATTCCATTCGATTCCATTCAATGATGATTCCATTTGATACCATTGGATGTCTCCATTCGATTCCATTCGATGATGATTCCATTCGATTCCATTTGTTGATTCCATTTGATTCCATTTTATGATTCCATTCTATGATTCCATTCGATTGCATGGGATGATTCCATTCGATGATGACACCATTCGATTCCATTCGAAGATTCCATTCTATTCCATTCAGTGATTCCATTTGATGATTATTCCATTCAATCCCATTCGATGATTCCATTTGCTTCCATGTGATGATGTTTCCATTCTATTCCATTCCATGATTCCTTTCGATTCCATTCAAAGATGATTCCATTCATTTCCATTCGATGTTTCCATTTGATTCCATTCGAGGATTCCATTTGTTTCCAATCGATGTTTATTCCATTCGATTCATTTTGACGATTCCATTCAATTCATTCGTTGATGATTCCTTTCGATTCCATTTGATGATGATTGCATTAGATTCCATTCGTTGATGATTCCTTTCGATTCCATTTGATGATGATTGCATTCAAATCCATTCAATGATTCTGTTCGATTCCATTCGATGATTTTTCCATTTGATTCCATTTGATGATTGAGTTCGATTATGTTCTATGATTCCATTCACTTCCATTTGATGATGATTCCATTCGATTCCATTTGATGTTTCCATTTGATTCCACACGATGAGGATTCCATTTGATTCCATTCAATGATTCCATTTGATTCCATTCAATGATGATTCCACTCGATTCCATTCGATGATTCCATTCGATTCCATTCGAGGATTTCATTTGATTCCATTTGATGTTTTTTCCATTCAATTCCTTTTGATGATTCCATTCGATTCCATTCGATGATGATTCCATTCGATTCCATTCGATGATGATTCCATTAGATTCCTTTCAATGATTTTTTTCGATTTCATTCTATCGTGATTCCATTCAATGATTCCATTTGATTCCATTTGATGATGATTCTGTTCGGTTCCATTCAATTTATTCCATTAGATTCCATTTGATGATTTGTTTCAATACCATTCAATGATGATTCCATTCGATTCCATGTGATGATGATTCCATTTGATTCCATTTGATTATTCCATTCGATTCCATGCGATGATGATTCTACTCAATTCCATTTGATGATTCCATTCAATTCCATTCAATGATGATTCCATTTGATTGCATTCCATGATTCATTTCAATTCCATACGATGATGATTCCATTCGATTTCATTCGATGAATCCATTCAATTAAATTCGAGGATTCCATTCGATTCCATTCAATGATTATTCCATTCAATTCCATACTATTATGATTCCATTCAATTCCATTCGATGATGATTCCATTCGATTCCATTCGATGATTCCATTTTATTCCATGTGATTATTATGCCATTTGATTCCATTCCATGATTCCATTTGATTCCATTTGATGATAATTCCATTCGATTCCATTCCATGATTCCTTTCAATTCCATTCTAGGATTTCATTTGATTCCATTTGATGATTATTCCATTCGATTCCTTTTGAAGTTTCCATTCAATTCCACTCGATGATGATTCCATTCGATTCCATTCGATGATGATTGCATTCGATTCCATTTGATGATTCTTTTTGATTTCATTCGATGATGATTCCATTCGATTCCATTCAAATATGATTCCATTCGATTCCATTTGATTCCATTCGATGATTCCTTTTGATACCATTCAATGATGATTCCATTCGATTCCATGTGATGATGATTCCTTTCGATTCTATGCGATGATGATTCCATTCAATTCCATTCGATGATTCCATTTGATTCCATGTGATGATGACTCAATTCGATTCCATTGGACAACTCCATTTGATTCCATTCCATGATGATTCCATTCAATGATTCCATTCGATTCCATTCAATTATTCCATTCGATGATTCCATTCGATTCCATTGGATGATTCCATTTGATGATGACACCATTCGATTCTGTTCGATGATTCCATAGAATTCCATTCGATGATTCCATTTGATGATTATTAAATTCGATTCCATTGGATGATACCATTCATATCCATTCGATGATGATTCCATTCAATTCCATTCGTTGATTCCATTTGATTCCATTCGATTATGATTCCATTTGATTCCTTTTGATGATTCCATTTGATTCTATTCAATGATTCCATTTGATTCCATTTGATGATGATTCCATTCGATTCAATTAGATAATGATTCCATTCATTCATGATTCCATTTGATTCCATTCGATGATGATTCCGTTCAATTCCATTCGATGATTCCATTTGATTCCATTTGATGATGATTCCATTTGTTTCCATCTGATGATTCCATTCTATTCCATTCGATCATGATTTCATTCGATTCCATTGGATGACTCCATTTGATTCCATTTGATGATGATTCCATTCGATTCCATTCAATGATCCCATTCAATTCCATTCTATTATTCCATTCGATTCCATTCGATTCCATTGGATGATTCCATTCAATGATGACACCATTCGATTCCATTCGATGATTCCATTCAATTCCATTCGATGATTCCATTTGATGTTTATTCCATTCGATTGCATTTGATGATTCCATTTGCTTCCATGTGATGATGTTTCCATTCGATTCCATTCCATGATTCCATTTGATGATGATTCCATTTGATTCCATTTGATGATTCCATTTGATTGCATTCGAGGATTCCTTTTGATTCCATTGAATGATTATTCCATTCGATTCCTTTCGATGATTCCATTCGATTCCATTCAATGATTCCATTCGATTCCATTCAATGATTCCATTCGATTCCATTGGATGATTACATTCGATGATGACACCATTCCATTCCATTCGATGATTCCATATGATTCCATTCAATGATGCCATTCGATGATTATTCCATTCGATTCCATTGGGTGATTCCATTCGAATCCATTTGATGATGATTCCATTCAATTCCATTCGTTGATTCCATTTGATTCCATTCTATGATGATTCCATTTGATTCCATTCGATGATTCCATTCGATTCCATTCAATGATGATTCCATTCAAATCAATTTGATAATGATTCCATTCAGTGATGATTCCATTCGATTCCATTCGAAGATGATTCCTTTTGATTCCTTTTGATGATTCCATTGATCCATTTGATGATTCCCATCGATTCCATTTGATGATGATTCCATTCGATTCCATGTGATGATGATTCCATTCGATTCCATCAGATGATTCCATTCGATGATGACACCATTCGATTCCATTTGATGATTCCATTCGATTCCATTAGATGATTCCATTCGATGTCTATTCCATTCGATTGCATTTGATGATTCCATTTGCTTCCATGCCATGATGTTTCCATTTGATTCCATTCCATGATTCCATTCGATTCCATTCGATGATGACACCATTCGATTCCATTTGATGATTCCACTCGATTCCATTTGATGTTTCCATTCAATGATTATTCCATTCGATTCCATTGGATGACTGCATTCGATTCCATTCGATAATTGTTCCATTCAATTCCATTCGATGATTCCATTCGATTCCATTCGATGATGATTCCATTCGATTCCATTCTATGATTCCACTCGATTCCATTCGATGATGATTCCATTCGATTCCACTCGATGATTGCATTCCCTTCCATTCGAGGATTTCATTGGATTCCATTCGATGATTATTCCATTCGATTCCTTTCAATGATTCCATTTGATTCCATTCGATGATGATTCCATTCGATTCCATTCAATGATGATTCCATTCAATTCCATTCGATAATTCCATTCGATTCCATTCGATGATGATTCCATTCTATTCCATTCCATGACTCCATTCGATTCCATTCGATGATTATTCCATTCAATTCCATTCGATGATTCCATTTGATTCCATGTGATAATGATTCCATTAGATTCCATTCCATGATTCCATTCGATTCCATTCATTGATGATTCCATTTGATTCCATTCGATGATTCCATTCGATTCCATTCTAGGATTTCATTCGATTCCATTCAATGATTATTCCATTCAATTCCTTTTGATGATTCCTTTTGATTCCATTCGATGATGATTCCATTCCATTCCATTCGATGATTATTCCATTTGATTCCATTGGATGATTCCATTCGATTCCATTCAATGATGATTCCATTCGATTCCATTTGATTTATTCCATTCGATTCCGTTCGATGTTTCCTTTCGATATCATTTAATGATGATTCCATTCGATTCCTTGTGATGATGATTCCATTCGATTCCATGTAATGATGATTCCATTCGATTCCCTTCCATGATTCCATTCAATTCCATTGGATGATGATTCCATTCGATTCCATTTGATGATTCCATTTGATTCCATTCAATGATTCCATTCGATGATTATTCCATTTGATTCCATTGGATGATTCCATTCAATTCCATTCGATGATGATTCCATTTGATTCCGTTTGATGATTGCATTCTATTCCATTCGATGATGATTCCATTTGATTTCATTCGATGATGATTCCATTCAATTCCATTCGATGATTCCATTCGATTCCATTTGATGATTCCATTTGATTCCATTCAATGATGATTCCATTCGATTCCATTCGATGATGATTCCATTTGATGATGATTCCATTCGATTCCATTCGATGATGATTTCATTTGAGTACATTTGATAATGACTCCATTCAAGTGCATTCATTGATGATTCCATTCGATTCCATTTGAGGATGATTCCATTCGATTCCATTCAATGATGATTCCATTCGATTCCATTCAATTATTCCATTCAATTCCATTCAATGATGATTCCATTCGAGTCCATTCGATGATGATTCCATTCAAGTCCATTTGATGATGATTCCTTTCGATTCCATTCGAGGATGACTCCATTCGATTCCATTCGATGATGATTCCTTTCGATGATAATTCCATTTGAGTCCATTTGATGATGATTCCATTCCATTCCATTCCACTATATTCCATTACATCCGATTCCATTCCACTCCGTTCCACTCCTCTCCACTCCACTCCATTCCATTCCATTCCATTCCATTCCATTCCATTCCATTCCATTCTATTCCACTGCTTTCCATTCCATTCCTTTCTTTTGAGAGTGTCTCACTCTGTCACCCAGCCTGTAGCGCAATGGCACAATCTCAGCTCCCAGTCCATTCCATTCCACTCCACTCCATTCAATTCCATTAGATTCAATTCCATTCCATTCCATTCGAAAAAGAAAAAGAGTTGCAAAGTCATACTCACTTTTCTGTTCTTGTCAGACAGTTAAGGGTTCTTTGAATACTCCAGCCCTAATAATTTTCTTCCTAACATACATATTGCAGTGATTATCTAATTTTAAATATATTTTTGTTTCAACACCTAATTTTTTATTTAGATCTATCTGTATGTTTACAATATATTTTGCTCTGTGTTCACTCTTTGATTTCAGAACTTCAACATTTCTGAAGAATATTTTCAGAGATTCTCTTTAGTTTCTTTAGTGGAATTCTGCTGGTGGCATTTTGTTTTCTGTCTCTAAATATGTTATTTAGCCATAGGTTGATGAATATTTTTCTTCGTTGAGAATTTCAGAATGGCATTATTATTCTTAGCAAATAATATTGTTTATTTTACCTTTCATTTTTTCAGATTTCAATATAACTAAAAGTAATTTCATTTTTCTAGTGCTAATTGAAATATTTTTCCCTTCCTGGTTGTTTACTATTTCTCTAGGAGATACATAGGTGTAGGTTTATCTCCATTATAGCTTGCTTAGCATGCATAGAATTTTTGAATATGCAGATTAGTGTCTTACAAAAGTCTAGAGAACTTTCACCCAAAATATCATCACATATTGTCCCTTCCCAGTTCCCTTCTTCTATGAGAACACTCACTAAACACATGCTACACTTTCTCACTGTATCTTCCATGTCTCTTCATCATTCTGTCCACATTTTCCTTTTTTTTAAATTTTCTGTAATGCATTCTGAAATATTTATGAACTCTCACCATAGTCATGTCTAATCTGATGAGTTCATTTTTGAGTTTTTAATTTAAAATAACTATATTTTTATACAAACTTCTTTTCAAATTTGCTACATCAATTTTTTAGTCTCCTAACAATATATTCTTTTTTAAAAAAATTTTTGAAAGCAAATGTGCTTTATAATCTAAGTGATAGATCTACTAAGGAACCTTTGTGGATCTGTTTGTACTCCTTTTCTGCTTTCCTTTCAAATGGTGGAATATCATTTCCTTGCATACTTAGATGCCTTTGAATGACAAATATTTATTTTTCTCTGAAAATTATTTTTGTGCACTTTTGAGGATTTGTAAGTAGAAAATTTGCCAAAGAGAATTTGAATTTTTTTGTGATTCTACTAAAGGCACCACCATTCTGGGACCACATTATGTTAATTCTTGGCCTAAAGGGATTTGGACGTATGTTTGGGTTGCACATTTAAACAATTTTTAAATTACTTGCTCTAAATCATTAGTGATTGAGTTTCTTTAAATCTGTCCAATCTCAAGTCATTTTTATTTGCCATTTCCAGGGAATGTGAAATGGGACTAATTTACCTCTGATTCTTCTTTATACTCAGGATATAAATTTTGGTCCTAGCTTTAGGGAGGAGCTCCTGTGTGATGCTCTATCTTGGGAAAAACTATGTATTTCTTTACTGTCTTATGTGATGTATGACAGTAGGAATCTGCACTCATTCATTTTGGTACACGTCCATAAGGCAAAATCAGTTTCGGTGTTTAGTTATATTTTGTCTGCTCCCTGCATTCCCATGGTTTTGACCTTATATTTTACTTTTTTTGTGAACATACCAGTGCTTCAATTTTTTTCCAGTAATATATTCAACTGCATTATGAGAAAGAGAAAAATTTTGATAAAACACAAATTTCATGTTTTCCTTCTCTAATTGGCTTTTACTTAAAATTACAGGTAAAATTTGTTTGTGCTTTTTTGCTATTTCTGTTTTACTATTCTCTGTTTGTCTATGTCTTCTCCACATAGACACAATTAGGGAATTTTGTACACTCTTGTGCCAACTGCTTTGATAGTAACAAAATGTATTTCTCGAACTCCTAGGTATAAAACTCAAGTATCCACAATTTAAATTCTTTTTCCCTCACTTCTATTATGTTTCCAGTCTCAATAGAAATTGATGCAAATCCAGAAATACAAGCATTATTCTAATACTTCTCACACATTACAGGTATAGATTAAATTTTCTAGATCTCCTTAAATACTATCATTTTTCACTACTTGTACCTTAACTGTTAAGTTCAACATTTTCTATAATATTAATATGTTGTGAAAATTTCCTTACTTTCTTATTTGTCCCAAGTTCAAGGTTTTGCAGTCTCTACCTCACGCTGTGAAGCATAAACGTTCTACATGCTGTACAAATAATACATACTTCATGTGCTTAGAGATTGCACAATTTTTATTTGGTTGACAATAACTAATGTTTTCTTCATTTTCTATTTCCTGATTTTTCTTTATTTAGTATGTGCTACATTATCATAAAAATAAGAACGTTTTACAAACTAAAGCAAAAGCAACCCTAGGAAAAAAATGCACAAATAAAATATATAAACATACAATTAGATGTACCATGTACCCTTCTAATTTATTTAGACATTTAATTGTAGTACAATTTTAATTAAATTCTGTGTATTATCTGCCATCGTCTTAGTATTTTTTATATAACAAATTTTGTAAATCAAAAAGTCTCAATGTCATTATAAACTATCTTGGCAGAGGTTGATGTCCAAGGAATAATTTCTCTCCCAAATTATGTCAATCAGAATTTCACTCTACCATAATTCTTTTAATCAGTTTCAGAGGAATCATACATTTCAAAATTGTTCAGGGTAGTTGTTGTAGTTCAAGTACATTTTGACAGGTGTAAAACTGTAGACAGACTGATACAAACATATTCTAATTGACTCAAAACTTTATGGGACCTATTTGTTTGATAAATGTAGTGTCTTTTTCCATGCCTGTCGCATCTCTATTGCTCATTTATTTTTCTCTTTGTCCCTTATAGGGAGCATTGCCTATCTCTAGATTAAGCAAAAGTTGTATCTTAAAAAAGCACAATAACCTGCTCAATCTTTCTCATACAGAGAAATGTTTGTTAAGTAATTAAAGTGTAGATGATGATACAGAGAGCTTGATTAAAAAAGATGCCAAAGTACCCTTGTGATTCAGAATATGAATGGTATTTAATGCCTTTGAAATCAATAATTGCTGAGTGACATTAATTAATGCCAATATTTCAGAAGTTGTTCTGGTTAGTGAAATGTGTACAACATGTAAAAGTTTCCGAACTCTGAAGGGCAACATTATTCTATAATTAAGAATTAAGAATTAATTCACATTAATTATTGGGGAGAAATAATTTTAAGAATTAATGACTGAGAAAACGTTTTTATTTTTTATTTAGAAAATTATTTTGTGCATGAGCATTACTGCAAGTTTTACAAGAAACATAAATTTATAGAAATAATTATTGCACAAGATGAATTTAATAACATCTTGATATTTTCCACTATTACCGTTGTATTTGGTAAATCTTTAAATGCCCATCATCTAAAGATAATAAATGAATCTTGGAAATCTTGCAGGTAAGGGTAAATATAAGGATGCATCCAATTACATTTACACACACATATAATTACGTTTACACAAACATACATGCACACATGCTCACTGATACAGGTATGCGTATATACACATGAATTTACCAATTGATTTTAACTAATATTTATAAGAGCCTGTAGGATTGATATATATTGCTGAACCTGAAAAATGTTTATTATATACATGTTTAAAATACAAAAAGAAATAAATAGTAATTGCACTAGGCATTTGAAACTGTACTTAAATATAAGCTGTGAACATTTTGTGATCATTACAAATTCTTACACTGAATAAATATTTTTAGTTTTATAATATGTTTGATACATTTGTACATTTTAAAAAATGTACTATTTTATTTTTGTCATAGAGTCATGTCATGCATAATAACATTTCAGTCAAAGATGGATTGCATATACAAAAGTGTTCCCATGAGATTATAATACACATTTTTACATACTTTTCTATGTTTAAGTATGTTTAGATACATAACTTCTTACCACTGTGTTCTTATTGCCTGCAATATTCAGTACAGTAATGTAGTACACAGGTTTGTAGCCTAGGAGAGAGAGGCTCTACCATATAACCAGACATGGTAGGCTGTACAAACTAGGTGTTTGTAATATTCTCTCTGACGTTTGCAAAATGATGAAATTGCCTATGGATGCATCTGTTAGAACGTATCCCTATCACTCAGTGATGTGTGACTGTACTAAAATGCTCAATCTAAGTTTCAATGTCCTCCATAAAATTGTTGTACTGTGAAATACAAATCTCTCACCCATGGCCTGAATATGTTTGCAAACTAAGCAGATCATGGGTAGGAGAATGTGCTGGCATCTCTGGGATGATTTTCTCACACTACATGAATAATATCTGCAGACTTTGCGAGTATGAGCCACTTGCATAGAGTTAAAGTAAGCATCCCTTTGCTGGGAAATTTATCAAATGGGAGCATGAAGTGTTTTTAAAAGATACTTGTTGGTTTGTAGATGGTAGGCCTACAGTGGCTCACGGCAATGGTTGAGGTTGCTAAGATTTGGTGGAAGGAGGCAAAATGAAATGGCCACTTATATGGTATATGGATCACTTGTTTCTGTTGAGTTACAGATTCAGCTGGCTATTTCTCCTAATGTTAGTTATTTGGAGAAAAATACATGATGGTAATTTTGGGGTAACAAATACAATATTTGATGAAAGCAAATTTTTGAGGATTAGACAAACTACAAGATAATTTAGGCTGCAAAGTCAACACGAGACTGCTGGCCCAAATTGTGCAGAGTTTGGGTCCAGATGCAAAGTTCAAAGGAAGAGGCCATATAAGACGATTCGCACTTTTGACACCAACTGCCAGATCAGGGTTTCCCCAGAACACCCTCAGTTTCAAGAATTTACTAGAAAGACTCACAGAACTCATTGAATGCCATTGTACTCATGGTTTATAATAGAGAAAGGGTAGAAATTGGACCAATCAAAGGAAAAGACATATCACATAAGGTGAAATCTAGGAGGATTTTGAATGTTAAGTTTCCATTGTCTTCAGGACATATTACCTGTCATTGTTGTACAGCAATAAACATGGAGTACTACCAACCTGGGGAGCTCACCTGATGCAAAAAAGACACTATTTCGAAAATGAAAAGACAAAGGAAAGGATGAGATAAGATGACCTTCCACATAAAGGCAATGGAAAAAATAGCAAACTAAACCTAAAGCAAGCAGAAGGAAGAAAATAAAAATTAGAGAAATTAATAATTTATAATATTGATCATATTTGTTAGTATTGACTAATTGATATTAATTCTTGACTAACTTTTTTTAAAAAGAGAAATATTCACTTCCCAATTTATTCTGTGGGGCCAGTGTTACCTTGATACAAAAATTAGTCCAAATAGCATAGAAAAATAAAACTACTATAAGTATAAATGCAAAATTCCTTAAAAACTACTAACAAATCAGATCTAGCAACATGTAAAAGAATTATGCACTATGACAAAGTGATATTTATACTAGTAATCTCAGGATGATTTAACAGCCCAAAATCCATTAAGGTAATACATCTTATCCATAGAATAAGAAACAAGAATTTCATGATCATCTCGATAGATTCAGAAAAGACATTTAACATAATCCAAATGCTTTAATGATTAAAAATAAAAATAAAAACTCAATGAGCCAGGAATAGAGTACTTTCTACACCAGATACATGGCACCTGTGAAAAGCCAAAAGCAAATATTCAACTTAGTGGTAAAAGAAAGGATACTTTCCCGCTATGGTCAGAGATAAGAATAGGATACGTACTTTGACCTCTTCTAGTCAACACTGTACTGAAGATTTTATGCAGGGCAAATCGGCAAGTAAAGAAATAAGAGTCACCCATATTGAACAGGAGGAAATAAAACTTTATTTGCAAATAACATTCTTGTATATAGAAAATTTTAAGGAATCCACTGAACGATAGAACTAGTTAATTACTTCAGCAATATTACAGCATACAAGATAAATATACAAAAATCAATTGCACACATCTACAATGAAAACCCTAAAATGAGATTAAGAAAACACTTCAATTTACAATAGCATCAAAAAAAGAAATAATAATTAATTTGGAAAATGTGATATAAGATTTTACTCTGAAAATTAAAAATTATTGTTTAAAGAAGATCTAAATAATTAGCAAATATCTTACAGCCATGAATTGGAAGATTTAATATTGTAGTACTTTACAAGTTGAACTACAGATTTGACGTAATCCCTGCAAGTATCCCAACAGATTTCTGTCTAGAAACTTACAAGCTGATTCTAAAATACACGTGGAATTGTAAGGGACTTAAAATAGCCAAAATAGTCTTGAAAAAAGAAAACATGTTAGGATAATTCACACCCCCATGCTCCAAACCTTATGGCAAAGCATCAGTAATCAAGACAACACAATACTGATGAAGGAAAAATATATAGATTGATGGAAGAGAATTGAGAGTCCATATATAAAACTATGTATCTATAGTCAATGGATTCTTACAGTGGTGCCATGTGCAATTCAATGAGGAAGAGACCTTCTTTGAACAAACTCTGTCAACAACGTACACGTGGATCGCCACTTGCAAAATAATAAATTGGAATCCTTACCCCAAAGCATACAAAAATATTAACTTAAATGAATTAAAGATATACATGCAAGAGCTAGAATAAAGCTTATGGGAAAATCTTCAGGATTTTGGATCTAGCAAAGAAATAGCTGTAACACCAAAAACATGATCAACAAAATAAAAATTAGTTATTTAACATTTCTTAAAAATTAAAGACATTGGTGTTTCAAAGGACAACCAAGCAAGTCAAAAGGCAGCTCAAAAATTGTGAGAAGATATTTGAAAAACACATATCTATATGTCTGTATAAATATGTATCTTGAATATAGAAAAATTGTTTTAACTCAGTAACAAATGCGGCAGATCATGATGGGCTTGCAGACCATTGTACGAATTGTGTCTTTTAGTGTAAATGAAATGGGGAGACAAATCATTGCCCCATTATCAATATTTTAATAAATTGGATCCATGAACCAAATACAATGAGATTAAATCAATTAGTAATAATATGCAAATTTGTATTAAAATTACAAGAATTACTTGCACATTTGAGAACAGGAGAGTCATGATTGTTTATCAGCAATAATAAACATTATTAATTTTAATTGTGATCAGCTAATTGAGATTAATTGCAATACATCATGCCTTATAATATGACTGTCAAAAGGAAAATATGATTGTAATCTTATACTACATCAATCAATGTCTTTGATTCATAGGACTATAGAGTAAGCCCCTAGTTTTCAAAGCCAACTGATGAGGCAGTGACATCTTATGCAAGTTTGCTGCTTTCTGCCACAGTGGTCCTTTGTCAGCTGGCACAAATTGTTTTACAAACACCACTAGGTCTAAAAAAGTTTGGATCTCAATGAACACAGAAACACCTTCATCCCTTCAGAAATACCTATCAATTACTGCCAATACAGAATGAAAAATTAACAACGGAAGTATGTTGATTGTAAAAATGCCAGATAGCTTGCATCTACATGAAAGAAAAATGCCATTTTTATTACAATAGATCATTGTTTTACATGAGTTTTGGTATAGCACAATGTTGAACCAAGGGCAAAGAAAGATGAATTAATGAAGTCTTAAGATATCAAGAATTTGAAAGAAAAGGAAGGTCGTCTTTGAAGGTTAGTGACATAGCATTCATCTTCTGTTGTCACCTTTTCCGTCATTCCCTGTATGCCTGATGGACAGCTTTCACTCAAGTTCAGAGAACAGCATGCAAAGATTAGCTGCCAACTAATTTTTATGAATGAGCTTAATTTCTAGCCAGACTGAGCTTACGTTTTAGCAGGAAGCATTTTTGGGAAATGTTTATGTTAGAGTTTGCCCTTCTTGACAAGGTGAGACATAAATGTCTACTTTATAGACATGAATTAAGATGGGAAGATATTTGGGGGAAACATTTTCTCAAATGCTAAATAACAAAGGTGCACAAAGGGGAAATTATACTAGATTTCTTTCCCACTTGTTTTCTATGTCTCATCCAATTCATCTTGTTTCCCTTCAGTTTCTGTTTAATGTAGAAAGTGGCATTTTCATTATTTTAAGCTTCTAGCACAATGAAAGAATTTCTCTTTTTCATGAACTGCATCATAAATGAAAGGGAGAAAGAGTGTCCAATATCATATTTATTGTTCAACAAAACACTGCTCCACGGCTTAAATTCAGTTTAAAAAAGAGTATTTATTGAACATCTAACACATACATAAAAGGCAGTAAAGACAAATGAGAAGAGGGCAGGATATTGAAGTATACAGACTTTAATGCTGAGTTTTGTATCTTAGTAAGTTACCGCACCTTACAGACACTCAATTTCCCCTGATTTAGGAAGGCGATGCTAATGGGTATTGCATAGGTGTACGTATAAAAATGTTGTATTTAATAGAATCCCACAAGCTTGGTATAAGGCAGAAAATAAATAGGTGTGACATGAATAAGTAGTTTATTACATTTGCTTGCTACTTGCAGACTAGAGGAAGGAAGAAACACAGCCACTATGATTGATTAGCATTATATTCTAATTTGGAATATAAATAGAAAAGAGAAAAATAGAAATCTATGCATAAACACATGCATTAAAATGAATTTTATGTGGACTCTTTCAGGAAAATGTTCCTAAGGTATTTTATTTTTTTATTGTGGTAAAATACACATAACATAAAATGTACTCTGTTAACCATTTTAAGTGCACAGTTCAGTGGTACTAAATATAGTCATAACATTGTGCAGCCATCCCCACCATCCATCTCCATAACTCGTTTCATCTTGTGAAACTGAAACTCTATACTCATTAAGCAATACTTCCCCATGTCTTCCTCCCCCCAGCTTCTGGCAACCATCATTGTACTATCTCTGTGACTCTGTCCACTTTAAGTTCCTTATACAAATGGAATTATACTGTATTTGTCCTTCACTGACTAACTTATTTCACTTGGCATAATATTCTCAAGTTTCATCCAAGTTGCAACATATGTCAGAATATTTCCCTCATGTTTAAGACTGAATAATATTCCATTGTATGTATATATCATATTTTGCTTATCCATTCATCTGTTGTTGGACACTTCAATTGCTTCTACGTTTTAGCTATTGCCAATAATGCTGCTGCAAATATGGATGTGTAAATATTTTTTCAAGACTCTGCTTTCATTTCTTTTGCTATCCTGAGATGTGGAGCTGCTGAATCATATGGCAATACCATTTTGATGTTTTGAGGAACTAACATACTCTTTTCCACAGCAAACATAGGGTTTGGCATTCCCTCCAATATTGCAAAAGGAATCGCCACATCCTTGCCTGTGGATTTTATTCACAAGTCCTGTGGCTCTCTCTACATCCCGGCCACCATGTGTTATTTCCTGTTTATATATATGACATCAAAGGTGCAGGAAGTAATGAACTAAATTGGAATGATAAACATGCAGAAAAATAGAGGTAAATACTGACTACATAAAACCATAAGAATAAGAATTTTGGATGATCTATATATTATATACCTATTTATCTAACATCTATCTGTTCCTCCATCTGTAATTAAAATATATTACAGTTAGAGAACAGAGGAAAAAGGAGGAATACATGAATTTAAATTTTAATTCCTCTTAGATTGTCTCACAACATCATTATGACAGAAAATCAATATCTGTTAACTATAAATGTAACATTCTTAAAGAATTCAAATACGTTGAATTACAGCATGAATAATATATTACAATCCATTCAAGTTTATTTTATTCCAGGAACACAAAAATACAAATTTCATTTGCAATTAAAGAAAAACATAAATCGATACATATGATTGATGTATATACACATTTAATGTATTTTTAAATATACATTTTTCAAAAATAGAAATTTTTCTAGGACAAATACTTAAAATATCACTGAAAATAGTGTTATTAGCTAATAACTTCCTAATAACTCTGGTATTATATAAGAAACCAAAATTAAAATTTCAGATAAGCTTAGAAACTAAAAAATTTAAAAATATTATTCTGTTCTCCATATGTTCATATTTAATATTATTTCTTGTTTTCATTCTTCTTCAGTGTTGCTCTACTAAAATATCACATACAATAGGTACTTTGGATTTCCGCTCTTATTACTCAAAATTGTACACATTTTCTCATGCTCTTAATTTAGTTATGCTACTTTTCTTTACTCTTGGAATTTTCACACTTGTGTTCACTCTCTTTTGAGTTCTCATAGTATCAAATAAGCTTTTTTCCCTCTTTCTGATTTGAAGGTTCATCTTCTCATAATTATTTTGTCCGCTCAGTTTCTTTTCATTCTCAGTTAAGTGCCTCTCATCTGGCTTTTCATTTGTAAGGTTTATTTTCATCTTAAGCCAGTCTTTTATTTATATTTTGATTCTGTTTTGTGGAGGACATACTTCCCTGAATTTTAAGGAAGAGGCCAAAAGGTTTGTTCAAGTTTTTACCTGATAGATTGGATTAAATTATCTAATGTACACACCCTTAATTTAAGTCTAGGGGCGACTCTCTACTCTCGATTTTGTATAGCATTATTTTTCTTAACATCCAAGTCCATCTTCATCTATTTGTATATGATCAATAAAAATATATTTGTCCAGAACCCTGCTTTAGTGGAGTTACTTCTTTCTAAGTAGTAGAGGTAGCAGTTGAGACATGAGCTGGGTTCTGGGTCAGTTTAGAGGGCTGGGCGACATTCCTCCTTTTGGTCTGTATGACTGAATGAATGCAGTTCTTGCTGTCTCGCTCCTCTCCTTAACACATTGAGCCATTGCAGCAGATGAGAAGGAATAATCCTGATCTGCCACTCAGGTGGAACACATGTTCTCTCCAACCACATCCATAGATTGTACTCACACTCGGCTAGAATGTATCCTGTCAATGATATGGAGATGTATCTATCTATCTAGATAGATATCTACTTTGGTTTATGCTCTCTGGTTGCCCGTAAATTATCTCCTTAAAGTGAATATCAAAAGAGAGCTTGGTGATGGCAGTGTTATAAAATCCTCAAAATGCAGCACCCACACCCAGAGGTATTTGTAGATTCTGGGATTCTAATTCAGATACCAAACTATATTAAAGGGGCATTGGTCATTGAGGGTTGCTAGGCTCTTTGTGGAGCATATTTGCTCTTTTCATGACTTTGAAATTATTTTAAAAATCTAACGTTTTTCTCAGTCTGCTGCAAGATGATTTGATTTGAATGTATAAGCACTAATTCTCCCCTAAGATTTGTACAATATATTTGCTCTGACAAGCCATAACCAGCAACTCACTTCACAGCAATTTATAGCATTTCCACGATAAGTTGAATTATTTTTAACTAGATTCTCTTTGCCTTAATCAAAATATGAAGAAGCAATATACTTGTTCTAGTTAGGTTCAAAAGTTGGCAGTCTCTCTCCTCGAAAGAATAATAAAACTTTTCAACGGCCTAATATGCATCTATAGACACACACACACACGCACACATGCAAGCACTATTCATAATATTTAAAGCACATTCTGTTCTATGACTTCATTTGTCTAGCACAAAATAAAACGATCTCAGTATATGTCAAGTACCAATTTTTTCGTATGGCCAATTATAGACATTTTATTTTTTAAATATTAGAGTGTTCTTGAAGCTCTTTCTATTTCTTTGTCAATGAACTAAACATTGGCAAATATGTAGGGTTTCCCACATAAGAACATTATTAACATCAAAATAGAAAGCTGGTGGTAGAAATAATGATTGGGAACACAGAGTCTCTATTCAGCATTCTACTTCTGCCATACCATAACTTTGTGATCTCACGAAATATCTCTCCATGTTGTCATCCCTATGTATAGTTCTGTCATTTTTCAATAAGAGCTTTTTGCTTAATTATGAAGTACTACTTACTATAACCATTATTTTGAGCTTCATGTAAATCAAGAACACCTGGACTCCACTTGCAAAACATTGAAAATGTAGTTAGGGATTGGGGGCATAAAGCAACATTTTAAAATGTGTAAAGACAATGAGTAAGCAACAAAGTGTCCAATTTTTTAGGGGAAAGTTGCATACGTCAGGAAAAGGCAGGATTAAGTAACAGAGAATTTGAATGATAACTGGCCAATTGGTGTCGTTTACAATTGCAAGTCATACAAATGAAGTTTGCTTTTTTAAAGAGAAAAGGAGTTAGTTAGAATGGGTCAACCTATTGGGGAAGCAATGTAGTTAGAGACAATGCCCAAAACCATGTGAGCAAATGTTCTGTAGAGCGCACCCCTGCAATGCTGCCATTGTGAGGCCAAGTCTCTCCTTGTCTTGGTACTGAGCCCGCCATTATGCCTCCATCATTGCCACTGTAGCTGCCACAAAATGATCCCTCAACCACCGCTGCCCAGGAACAAAGAAAGAATTCTGTCCTTCCGCGCTCTCAGATCAATTTCCAACATCAGGTGAGCCTTTGATGGGCACTATTCAGTTCCCATATCCCTGAAATAGATGCAGTAAAAACATAGAAATTGCCTATGTGTTTCCCAATAATACACATATGGAAGCCTGGTTTCCCACAACAGGAAGGGTTTTCCATGATGGGTGTTCAAAGGAACAATATTCCCTGTAAACCATACTTTGCCCATATGAAGAAAAGCAATAAGGATTATTTAGTAAATAGACATAGAAACTCATCCAGGGTTGGCTGATGAGAAGCTGGTTAGCAAGGTGGTCTGCCTTCAGTTAGGACAAGGTCTGTGCTTCCCACGGGTTCTCTCCACAGCAGGAGGGATGCAAACTTCCCTTTCCTCCCCTGCACCTACCCTCAAATGGCCCAGAGTTCTTCAGGTGCTAGAATTTCTCAATTAATGCTGCACAAAATATCAGACAGCCTTGACTGTCACAGTCTGTTCTCATGAAGCTAGTCTCTGCTCACTATATAAAACAGGAGAGTAAGAACAAGGGTGTTTAACGCTACCCTAGCTCAAACAAGTTTCTCTCTGTAGGATGCCAAGAACCTGGGAACCAGTGCATCTGCTGCTTTCCCTTCTCGGATTCTAGCCCAGACAAAAGAGGCAAGGGGCATTTCTTCAGAGGCCTTGAGCTTCACTACACAATGCCCCAGGCTCTACATGCACCCTCTTTATATATTTCTACCTTGAAAAAAATTTTATATAATATTAATAATATATATTTTTATATAAGAAGCACATATGTTTATTTTATAGATAGATATAGATATACATAGATAAAGATCTCTAGTCAGCCTTTTTTAAGGCTGGGCTGATTGTGGTGCCTCAAAACTATAATCCCAGCACTTTGGGAGGCCAAGGTGGCCAGATCTCTTGAGTCCAGGAGATGGAGATCAGCCAGGGCAACATGGTGAAACCCCATCTTTACAAAAATTAGCTAGTATGGTGTCATGCACTTGCAGTCCCTGCTACTCAGGAGACTGAGGTAGGAGAATCGCTTGAGCACAGTATGTGAAGGCTTCAGTGAGCTCTGATCACATGACTGCACTCCATCTTGGGTGACAAAGTGAGACCCTCTCTCAAAATAAAATAAAATAAAAAGGCTACCACCATACTCACAGATAAGTGTGTCAGGTATATTTGCAGCTATCTTTCCTATATTCTATTTGATAAAAAAAAATGCAAAGAACTCTTCTCATTCTAGATTTTTGTATTAATTAGACATTTGAAGTTTATAGCAGAAGAGCTATAATCATGTTTGGTATGTGTACTCTATAGACCATATAGTGCAAACAGATATCAATGCTTTTTAAAAGTATATAAGGTTATTAGAAATATTTTAAACTACCTATAGGTATATATGTATCTAATTGAACTATCAAATGCAAGTAAGATCATTTCCTTAGCGTGTGAAATCCACTCAATTTATTAAAATATTTTCTAATGTCTATTACAATAGTGTTTCTTAATTAGCTAACATAAGAGGAGTTTTAAGACATTTATTTATATGTACTTACTAGATTCAAACTCGATTCCACTGTTTTCAGAAATCATGCTCCGAGACAAGTCCTTTTTTTATCTAACTATGTTTCTGCCTATATTAAAAGACAGATATGTCAATTTTGCTAATCATGCTGTTCCAAACCTCTCCATCCTATTTTTCGGTTTGTTCTACCAGTCATTCAGAGACTTACTTATATTCAAATTTCTCTCTAGGTTTAACATTTGTGTATGTCTTCTTGTGGTTTTGTCTATTTTTGCTGTATATACTTTAAGACATTTATTGACATATATCATACATGCAGAAAAGTACAATGATTAAATATAGATAGCTTGATTAATGAAACACATGTATTTGCTTATAACCATGTATGAAAATAGAACATTACTAAAAATAGAGATACTTCTCCTGCCCCTTTCCAAACACTAACCCTCATCCTCAATAGTAACAGATTTTTTTTTTGTCATAATTTGGTCTATTTTCAAATTTTTATTAAATAAATCAGAGTATCTACTCTAAGTCAATGTTTCTTTCATTGTTGTTATTTTGCTTATAGTACTTATCTGCTAATGGACATGGTAGATTAAAGATGGCTACATACACATTTTTTAATTAATAGATTTTTTGAGCACTTTGTGGTTCATGCCTCTAATCCCACCACTTTGGGAGGCTGAGGTGCGCGGATCATGAGTTCAGGAGATTGAGACCATCCTGGCCAACGTGGTAAAACCCCTTCTCTACTAAAATACAAAAAATTAGCTGATAGATAACATCTGGGTTCTTAGTTGCACTGAGTCAAGCCTACTTACATCTTTGTTTGTCTTCCTCTGCACTTTTCCTTCCACATAACACTCCAGGAATGCCAAGCTGTGCTGGCCTTCTACACCATTTCCACTATTTTGCCCCCGCCGCCACGGCTTTTTGCTCCGGAAGCCACGGCTTTTTGCCCTCGCTGCCGCGGTTTTTGCGGCTTTTTTCCTCCGCCACCGCGACTTTTTCCACCGCGGCTTTTTATGGCTTTTGGCCCCCAGCACCGCAGCTTTTTACGGCTTTTTGCCCCCGCCGCCGCAGGTTTCTCCCGCTGCGGCTTCTTGCCCCGCCGCCCCGGCTTTATGTGGCTTTTTGCCGCCGCGGCTTTTGGCCCCCGCCACCGCGGCATTTTACAGCTTTTCGCCCCCGCCGCTGCGGCTTTTTCCCCCCGCCAGCCGCAGGTTTTTCCTGCCACGGCTTCTTGCCCCTACGCCTGGGCTTTTTGCTGCTTTTTGCCCCCTCCGCCGCGGCTCCTTGCCCCCTACGCGGCTTCCTGCCCCCGCCGCCGCAGCTTTTTATCACCTCAGCCGCTCTTTGCCCCCGCCGCCATGGGTTTTTGCCGCCGCGGCTTCTTGCCCCCCTCGCCGCGGCTTTCTGCCCCCGCCCCCGTTGCTTTTTGCCCCTGCCGCCACGGCTTTTTGCACCTGCCCCCGTTGATTTTTGCCCCCGCCGTTGCGGCTTTCTGCCCCTGCCGCCGAGGGTTTTTGCGGTTTCATGCCCCCGCCGTCGTGGCCTTTTGCCTCCGCTGCTTTTTGCCCCCTCTGCCGCGGCTTTTTGCGGCTTTTTAGCCCCTTCGCCGTGGCTTTTTGCGGCTTTTGGCACCCGATGCCGCGGCTTTTTGGGGCTTTTGGTCCCCGCCGCAGCGGCTTTTTTCCCCCGCCGCCTCAGGTTTTTCCTGCCGCGGCTTTTTTCCCCCGCCGCCGCCGTGACTTTTTGCCACCCCTGCTTTTTGCCCCCGCCGCCGCGGCTTTCTGTCCCGGCCGCCGCATCTTTTTGCCGCCGCGGCTTCTTACACCCGCCACCGCGGCTTTTTGCCCCCGACGCTGTGGCTTTTTACGGCTTTTTGCCCCCATCACCGCAGCTTTTTGCCCCCGCCGCCACGGCTTTTTGCCCCCATCGCCCCGGCTTTTTCCGCCACCGCCCCGGCTTTTTGCCCCCACCATTGCGGCTTTTTGCGCCCGCCGCCGCGGCTTTTTGCGGCTTTTTGCCCCCGCCGCCGCGGCTTTTTGCCATCACCGTGGCTTTTTCCCCGCCGCCATGGCTTCTTGCCCATGCGGCTTTTTACTGCCGCTGCGGCAGGTTTTTACCGCTGAGGCTTTTTCACCCCGCCGTCGCGGGTTTTTGCCCCCACCGCCGCGGGTCTGAGGGCGGGATCGTCAGACTCGGCTTCCAGATCTACTGGCGTCCTGGCTAAGGCAGCTCCGAGGGTCACTCCTGATCTAGCTCTCCTGGTTCGGGGGTTCCTTGCCTAGACACCCGCGCCCCAGGCTCCGCTCCTGGGCCACTGCAGCCTGCATAGAGGGGCGCTGCGCTAGGCCCCGATGGGAGAGAAGAAGGAGGGCGGTGGCGGGGGTGACGCGGCTATCGCGGAGGGAGGCACAGGGGCCGCGGCCAGCCGGGCGCTGCAGCCCTGCAGGCAGCTCCAGAAGCTCATCGGCATCTCCATTGGCAGCCTGCGCGGGCTGCGCACCAAGTGCACTGTGTCCAAGGACCTCACCCAGCAGGAGATACGGACAGTGGAGATAAGGGGGTCGGGGACCAGGGTTGGGCTCCAGCACCAGACTGGACATCTCCCTCGGGGCCCCAGTTCACTCCCGGCCGAGTTGCATGCTTGAGCCCGCGTCTCTCCCTTGGAGGCTTCTCCTCCCTCCTGCACTCGCTGATGCAGCAGCCGGAGGACCTGGGACCAGCCCTCACCTTGGGCAGGATTTGTGGGGTGGGTGCGTGTTGGGAACTTTGATGGAGGCTCGAGGGGCCCGTGGGTGGGGTGGGCTGTGCGCGGACGTCCCCTTACACCCCGAATTTCCATCTGGTGCAGCCTTCTCATCTTGTAGGTGAGGAAACCGAAGGCCTGAGGGAGAAATGACTTGTCAGGAACCCCTGTTAAGGAAAATTAACAAATTGTGGTTATCAAAGGAGAACTGAGTTGAGATTCAGACCTGGAGTCCCACACCCTTGGTTAAGACATTATACCACCTTGAGTCTGGCCTGTTGACTGAGGGTGAGCCACTCCATTCTTGTCTGATTGTGGGGTCTTGACCTCAAGGGGTTTCGTGCAGCAATAAGCAAATGGGTTTGCTTTCCTAGCTCTGTCCAGTACTTTAGGGACCCTGAGAAGTGGAGAGATTCTTGGAGAGCCATCTGGTGTATGTCATGGGTGGGCCTTGCTTGAAGGTCAGTCTGCCCAGTGGGCTGGCTCAGCCCGAATGAACTCTCTTGAATCTTTGGAGTTGTCTGCGTACTTTTAAGGGTTTCTCATCCTTGCACCAAAAGATTCCCTGGAAATTAGGTGGGAAAACCTTAACTTTTGTGGAGCCTTGTATTTGTCTTCAAAGTTCATGCGCATAGCCAGGTGTGGTGGCTCATGCCTGTTATCCTGTCCTGGATCCCTTGAGTCAAGGAGTTTGAGACCAACCTGGTCAATATAGTGAGACCCTATCTCTACAAAAAATAAAATATTAGCCAGGAGTGGTTGTGCGCATCTGTAGTCCTAGCTACTACTGTGGCTGAGGCGGGAGGAGCACTTGAGCCTGCACTGAGCTGTGATCTCGCCAGTGTACTCCAGCCTGGGCCACAGAGCAACACCTTGACTCAAAAAAAAAAAAACCAACAAGAAAAATTCTTGAAGATTTTTCATTCTGTCCCACTATCCATTGGTTTTCATGTCAAGATAATGTCAGAAATTCTTTACAATTGCTTCCAGAAGGAGTAGCCTTTTGATCTAGTGCACAGGTGTCCAGTCTTTTGGCTTCTCAGGGCCACATTGGAAGAAGAATGCTCCTGGGCCACACATAAAATACACTACTGCTAACGATAGCTGATGAGCTTAAAAAAAAAAGTTTGTGCATAATTTTCATGATACCCACAACCACAGATAGGTGGAAAAGTCCTTGTAGTCAAAGGGTTGGACACGGCTGATCTAGTGTCTTGTCATCCGTTTTGGCTTTCTCCCTGACTCCAGAATGCAGGTAGAGATGTAGAGACATGCTCTCAGGACAGCTGTTAAGATAAAAAAAATTCGTTGTCATTTATTCCCAAGCACAGCTGTTTGTCATTTGCATTGAAAAAGTCTCCATTCAAACTGCTGTCACATATAAAATCTATTTATATGTCTGTATTTTTCTGTTATCTTGGCCTTTGTGGGCAGTAGTGTGTTTTAACCGAGCAAACTGTCCTTCCAAATAATGAAGCCGAAGTCAGCCTACCTGCTTGCTATTTTTCTTCCCCTTCCATTTTTCTAACCTCAGGATAATTGTAAGAATGAATTAAGATTTGTGTTTAAGGCCGGGCACAGTGTCTCAGGGCTGTAATCTCAGCACTTTGGAAGGCGGAGACGGATGTATCGCTTGATCTCAGGAATTGAAGACCAGCCTGGGCAACATACTGAGAGTCTGTCTTGTATAATTAAATTAAAATTTTAAAAAAGGAGAGAAAAGGACCTGTGTTTAAAATTTTAAAAAAGGGGGGAAAGTGTAATGCAAAATGTGGGCTATGGAAGCTATGATTGGGAAAAATAATTTTTCCTACAGCATTATCTGTTGACTTGTATTAGCAGCACACTGGTCATAAGCGTTTTGCTTTCATCAAATATGATTAGGTAAGCTACTGTAAAGTGTGGTGGGGCTTTCTTCCGCATGGCTCCTGGAGGTGTTGAGTCCCAATTCAGCCAATTAATTTGGGTTTAGTTTTGATATGGATAAGGGAGACCGGCTTCATTCATGATGCACACACAGTTTTGCCAGTAAGGAAATAAAAAGCAACCTGAATGTTCCTACTCATTAGATGCTATCTGGAGAGCTCCTACCCCACCTCCACCAAGGCCCAGGCCCTTAAAAAGACTCAATGCAGCCTTTCTGTATCTCATACTGTATTCTGCAAGATGCTCCTGTGAAAGAAAGTTGTGCTGCATCAGCCATCTCCCTCCTGAAGATCCCTGCAGATGAGGATTTGTGTTTTAAAGGTTCTCAGAAGTCCTGCAACAACAGTTCTCAAACTTATTTGTCCAGGGGATCTTTTCTTCCACTGAACGTAGTTGGGGAGACATGGCCTTAAGCCTTGAGCAGAGAAAGAGACAAGAAACTGTTGGCTCACTTACAACCAAGTGTTGTGTATATGTTTTAGGTTTTTATGAAACTGCGGTGCTGTTTGAGGTTCTGAATCAAATTGGGTAGTTGAAGAGAGGCTGGTATCCCTGTAGACTTAGCCAGCCATGAGAGGTTGACTTTTGTTGAAGGAGGTGTTTTACAAAGGGAAATAGTGTGTCTCCTGGGCATCACATTAACACTTAAATACATGTATCACTGAAATGAAATGAAATGATGACATGAAATGAAATGAAATGATGAAACGAAATGATGAAATGATGAAATGAAATGAAATGAAATGATAAAATGATGAAATGAAATGATGAGATGAAATGAAATGGTGAAATGATGAAACGCTGAAATGAAATGAAATGATGAAATGAAATGATGAGATTAAATGAAATGATGAAATGGAATGATGAAATGATGAAATAATGAAATGAAATGGTGGAATGAAATGAAGAAATGAAATGAAATGCTGAAATGAAATGATGAGGTGAAATGGTGAAATGAAATGAAATGATGAAATGATGAAATGAAGAAATGGCATGAAATGATGAAATGAAATGATGAAATGAAGTGAAATGATGAAATGATGAAATAATGAAATGAGGGGTGGAGCCAAGATGGCCGAATAGGAACAGCTCCGGTCTAAAGCTCCCAGCGTGAGCAACGCAGAAGATGGGTGATTTCTGCATTTCCATCTGAGGTACTGGGTTCATCTCACTAAGGGAGTGACAAACAGTGGGTGCAGGACAGTAGGTGCAGCTCACCGTGTGGAAGCTGAAGCAGCACGAGGCATTGCCTCACTCAGGAAGCACAAGGGGTCAGGGAGTTCCCTTTCCTAGTCAAAGAAAGGGGTGACAGACGGCACCTGGAAAATCGGGTCACTCTCACCCTAATACTGCACTTTTCCAACAGGCTTGGAAAACGGCACACCAGGAGATTGTGTCCCACACCTGGCTCAGAGAGTCTTATGCCAATGGAGTCTTGCTGATTGCTAGCATGGCACTCTGAGATCAAACTGCAAGGCAGCAGTGAGGCTGGGGAAGTGGGGCCCGCCATTGCCCAGGCTTTCTTAGGTAAACAAAGCAGCCAGGCAGCTGGAACTGGGTGGAGCCCACAACAGCTCCAGGAGGTCTGCCTGCCTCTGTAGGCTCCACCTCTGGGGGCAGGGCACAGACACACAAAAAGTCAGCAGTAACCTCTGCAGACTTAAATGTCCCTGTCAGCTTTGAAGAGAGTAGTGGTTCTGCCAGCACGCAACTAGAGATCTGAGACTGGGCAGACTGCCTCCTAAAGTGGGTCACTGAACACCGAGCAGCCTAACTGGGAGGCACCCCCCTGTAGGGACAGACTGACACCTCACTCGGCCGGGTAGTCCTCTGAGACCAAACTTCCAGAGGAATGATCAGACAGCTGAATTTGTGGTTCACGAAAATCCGCTGTTCTGCAGCCACTGCTGCTGATACCCAGGAAAACAGGGTCCAGCGTGGACCTCTAGCAAACTCCAACAGACCTGCAGCTGAGGGTCCTCTCTGTTAGAAGGAAAACTAACAAACAGAAAGGACACCCACACCAAAATCCCATCTGTACATCACCATCATCAAAGACCAAAAGTTGATAAAACCACAAAGATGGGGAGAAAACAGAGCAGAAAAACTGGAAACTCTAAAAAGCAGAGTGCCTCTCCTCTCCAAAGGAATGCAGTTCCTCACCAGCAATGGAACAAAACTGGACAGAGAATAACTTTGACGATTTCAGAGAAGGAGGCTTCAGATGATCAAACTACTGAGAGCTACAGGAGGGAATTCAAACCAATAGCAAAAAGTTTAAAACTTTGAAAAACAATTAGACGAATGTATAACTGGAGTAACCAATGCAGAAAAATGCTTAAATGATCTGATGGAGCTGAAAGCCAAGTTTCGAGAACTACGTGAAGAAGGCAGAAGCCTCAGGAGCCGATGTAATCAACTGGAAGAAAGGGTATCAGTGATGGAAGATGAAATGAATGAAATGAAGGGAGAAGGGAAGTTTAGAGAAAAAACAATAAAAAGAACAAAGCCTCCAAGAAATAAGGGACTATGTGAAAAGACCAAACGTACGTCTGATTGGTGTACCTGAAAGTGACGGGGAGAATGGAACTAAGTTGGAAAACACTCTTCAAGATATTATCCAGGAGGACTTCCCCAATCTAGCAAGGCAGGCCAACATTCAGATTCAGGAAACACAGAGAATGCAGCAAAGATACTCCTCAAGAAGAGAAACTCCAAGACAAATAATTGTCAAATTCACAAAAGTTGAAATGAAGGAAAAAATGTTAAGGGCAGCCAGAGAGAAAGGTCGGGTTACCCACAAAGGGAAGCCCATCATACTAAGAGCTGATCTCTTGGCAGAAACTCTTCAAGCCAGAAGAGAGTGGGGGCCAATATTCAACATTCTTAAAGAAAAGAATTTTCAACCCAGAATTTCATATCCAGCCAAACTAAGCTTCATAAGTGAAGGAGAAATAAAATCCTTTACAGACAAGCAAATGCTGAGAGATTTTATCACCACCAGGCCTGCCCTAAAAGAGCTCCTGAAGGAAGCACTAAACATGGAAAGGAACAACTGGTACCAGCCACTGCAAAAACATGCCAAATTGTAAAGACCGTCGAGACTAGGAAGAAACTGCATCAACTAACGAGCAAAATAACCAGCTAACATCATAATGACAGGATCAAATTCACACATAACAATATTAACCTTAAATGTAAATGGACTAAATGCTCCAATTAAAAGACACAGACTGGCAAATTGGATAAGGAGACAAGACCCATCAAGGTGCTGTAATCAGGAAACCCATCTCACATGCAGAGACACACATAGACTCAAAATAAAGAGATGGAAGAAGATCTACCAAGCAAATGGAAAACAAAAAAAGGCAGGGGTTGCCATCCTAGTCTCTGATAAAATCGACTTTAAACCAACAAAGATCAAAAGAGACAAATAAGGCCTTTATATAATGGTAAAGGGATCAATTCAATGAGAAGAACTAACTATCCTAAATATATTTGCACCCAATACAGGAGCACCCAGATTCCTAAAGCAAGTCCTGAGTGACTTACAAAGAGACTTAGACTCCCCCACAATCATAATGGGAGATTTTAACACCCCACTGTCAACATTAGACAGATCAACGAGAGAGAAAGTTAGCAAGGACACCCAGGAATTGAACTCAGCTCTGCACCAAGCGCACCTAATAGACATCTACAGAACTCTCCACCCAAAATCAACAGAATATACATTTTTTTCAGCACCACACCACACCCATTCCAAACTTGATCACATAGTTGGAAGTAAAGCTCTCCTCAGCAAATGTAAAAGAACAGAAATTATAACAAACTGTCTCTGAGACCACAGTGCAATCAAACTAGAACTCAGGATTAAGAAACTCACTCAAAACTGCTCAACTACATGGAAAATGGACAACCTGCTCCGGAATGACCACTGGGTACACAACAAAATGAAGGCAGAAATAAAGATGTTCTTTGAAACCAATGAGAACAAAGACAAAACATACCAGAATCACTGGGACACACTCAAAGCAGTGTGTAGAGAGAAATTTATAGCACTAAATGCCCACAAGGAAAGCAGGAAAGATCCCCCACCCAAAATTAACACCCTAACATCACAATTCAAAGAACTTGAAAAGCAAGAGCAAACACATTCCAAAGCTAGCAGAAGGCAAGAAATAACTAAAATCAGAGCAGAACTGAAGGAAATAGAGACACAAAAAACCCTTCAAAACATTCATGAATCCAGCAGCTGGTTTTTTGAAAAGATCAACAAAATTGATAGACCACTAGCAAGACTAATGAAGAAAAGAGAGAAGAATCAAATAGACGCAACAAAAAATGATAAAGGGTTTATCACCACCGATCCCACAGAAATACAGTCTACCATCACAGAAAACTACAAACACCTCTACGCAAATAAACTAGAAAATCTAGAAGAAATGGATAAATTCCTCGACACATACACTCTTCCAAGACTAAACCAGGAAGAAGTTGAATCTCTGAATAGACCAATAACAGGCTCTGAAATTGTGGCAATAATCAATAGCTTACCAACAAAAAAGAGTCCAGGACCAGATGGATTCACAGCAGATTTCTACCAGAGGTACAAGGAGGAACTGGTACCATTCCTTCTGAAACTATTCCAATCAATAGAAAAAGAGGGATTCCTCTCTAACTAATTTTATGAGGCCAGCATCATCCTGATGCCAAAGCCGGGCAGAGACACAATAAAAAAAGAGAATTTTAGACCAATATCCTTGATGAACATTGATGCAAAAATCCTCAATAAAATACTGGCAAAACGAATCCAGCAGCACATCAAAAAGCTTATCCACCATGATCAAGTGGGCTTCATCCCTAGGATGCAAGACTGGTTCAACGTATGCAAATCAATAAACGTAATCCAGCATATAAACCTAACCAAAGACAAAAAACACATGATTATCTCAATAGATGCAGAAAAGGCCTTTGACAAAATTCAACAGCCCTTCATGCTAAAAATTCTCAATAAATTAGGTATTGATGGGACGTATCTCAAAATAATAAGAGCTATCTGTGACAAACCCACAGCCAATATCATACTGAATGGGCAAAAACTGGAAGCATTCCTTTTGAAAACTGGCACATGACAGGGATGTCCGCTCTCACCACTCCTATTCAACATAGTGTTGGAACTTCTGGCCAGGGCAATCAGGCAGGAGAAGGAAACAAAGGGTATTCAATTAAGAAAAGAGGAAGTCAAATTGTCCCCGTTTGCAGATGACATGATTATATATCTAGAAAACCCCATTGTCTCAGCCCAAAATCTCCTTAAGCTGATAAGCAACTTCAGCAAAGTCTCAGGATACAAAATCAATGTACAAAAATCACAAGCATTCTTGTACACCAACAACAGACAAACAGAGTGCCCAATCATGAGGGAACTCCCATTCACAATAGCTTCAAGGAGAATAAAATACCTAGGAACCCAACTTACAAGGGACATGAAGGACATCTTCAAGGGGAACTGCAAACCACTGCTCAATGAAATAAAAGGATACAAACAAATGGAAGAACATTCCATGCTCTTGGGTTGGAAGAATCAATATCGTGAAAATGGCCAAACTGCCCAAGGTAATTTAGAGATTCAATGCCATCCCCAGCAAGCTACCAATGACTTTCTTCACAGAATTGGAAAAAATGACTTTAAAGTACATATAGAACCAAAAAAGAGCCCGCATCACCAAGTCAATCCTAAGCCAAAGGAACAAAGCTGGAGGCATCACACTACCTGACTTCAAACTATACTACAAGGCTACAGTCACCAAAACAGCATGGTACTGGTACCAAAACACAGACATAGATCAATGGAACAGGACAGAGCCCTCAGAAATAACACCGCATAACTACAACTGTCTGATCTTTGACAAACCTGACAAAAACAAGCAATGGGGAAAGGATTCCCTATTTAATAAATGTTGCTGGGAAAACTGGCTAGCCATATGTAGAAAGCTGAAACTGGATCCCTTCCTTACACCTTATACAAAAATTAATTCAACTTGGATCAAAGACTTACATGTTAGACCTAAAATCATAAAAACCCCAGAAGAAAACCTAGGCAATACCATTCAGGACATAGGCATGGGCAAGGACTTCATGTCTAAAACACCAAAAGCAATGGGAACAAAAGCCAAAATTGACGAAGCGGATCTAATTAAATTAAAGAGCTTCTGCACAGCAAAAGGAACTACCATCAGAGTGAACAGGCAACCTACAAAATGGGAGAAAATTTTTGCAACCTACTCATCTGACAAAGGGCTAATAACCAGAATCTACAATAAACTCAAACAAATTTACAAGTAAAACACAAACAACCCCATCAAAAAGTGGGTGAACGACACGAACAGACACTTCTCAAAAGAAGACATTTATGCAGCCAAAAAACACATGAAAAAATGCTCATCATCACTGGCCATCAGAGAAATGCAAATGAAAACCACAATGAGATACCATCTCACACCAGTTAGAATGGCGATCATTAAAAAGTCAGGAAACGGCAGGTGCTGGAGAGGATGTGGAGAAATAGGAACACTTTTACACTGTTGGGACGGTAAACTAGTTCAACCATTGTGGATGTCAGTGTGGCGATTCCTCAAGTATCTAGAACTGGAAATACCATGTGACCCAGCCATTCCATTACTGGGTATATACACAAAGGACTATAAATCATGCTGAAATAAAGACACATGCACACGTATGATTATTGCGGCATTATTCACAATAGCAAAGACTTGGAACCACCCCAAATGTCCAACAATGATAGACTGGATTAAGAAAATGTGGCACATATACACCATGGAGTACTATGCAGCCACAAAAAACGATGAGTTCGTGCCCTATGTAGGGACATGGATGAAACTGGAAATCATCATTCTCAGTAAACTCTCACAAGGACCAAAAACCAAACACCGCATGTTCTCATTCATAGGTGGGTATTGAACAATGAGAACACGTGGGCACAGGAAGGGGAACATCACACTTCGGGGACTGTCGTGGGGTGGGGGGAGTGGGGAGGGATAGCATTAGGAGATATACCTAATGCTAAATGACGAGTTAATGGGTGCAGCACACCAACATGGCACATGAACACTTATGATACAAACCTGCACATTGTGCACATGTATCCTAAAACTTAAGGTATAATAATAAAATAAAATAGAATAAAATACAAAATATACAGTAATACAGATTAACCAACTAAAAGAAATTGTAGAGTAAGGTCATTTAAAAAATATGAAGGATAGAGTAATAATCTAACACGTTGAAATCTAAGAAGGAGAAAACAGCGTGTCTGAACAGCATTTTAAGTGGCAATGTTAGAGGTTTTATCAAAATTGACCAATAATATTAAACCACAGGTTCAGGAGGCTTTTGAAAGCAAAGGAAAACACACACAGAGGACACATCTAGAAACATAATGGGACAATTTCTGAAAAGTAAAAGAAAAATGTAAAGAGCACTTGATAAAAAAATTGGGGTAACTACAAAGAGAAAGAGTTGACTGATAACAAATTTCTCAAATGAAACAACGAAAGCCAACAAGTGAGGTATTGATATCTTTCAAGTCCTGAAATAAAATATGTGCTGACCTAGAACTGTCTACTTGGTGGACATATCCATCAAAAGCAAAGATACAATAAAGAATTTCTCCCAAGAAGACCCACAGGAAAAGAAATACTAAAGATTATTCTTCAGGTAGAAGAGCCATGATCCCTGATGAAAGTTTGCAGTTAGAAGAACAATTTTTTTAATGAAAGAAATAAACATAGAGAGAAATTTAATTAGATATCAACTGTATAACAGAATGCTATCTCATAAAGTTTAAAATGTATCTTCCATACAACGGCAGAAGCATATAAGTTGCGAGTTGGATAAATTAATTTTAAAATATTGTCAAGTTTTTTTTTGCAAATAGACAAATGTAGCCATTATATTAGACCCTGAATTCAAGAATGCACGTTGTATTAAACCAGGTAAAACATAACTAGACCAGATTTTTTAAATGGACTCTCTTAAAATTTTTATAATTTATATTCATATTTTTTTAATGTTTCTACTCTTTTATTATTAATCCAACCCCAGAATTTTAAAAGTATGCAAAGTATTATTACACGCCAATAGGCTAATGATAAATCAAACATTATAAATTGCTATACTTTTTTATTGATCATTCTTGGGTGTTTCTCGCAGAGGGGGATTTGGCAGGGTCATGGGACAATAGTGGAGGGAAGGTCAGCAGATAAACAAGTGAACAAAGGTCTCTGGTTTTCCTAGGCAGAGGACCCTGAGGCCTTCTGCAGTGTTTGTGTCCCTGGGTACTTGAGATTAGGGAGTGGTGATGACTCTTAACGAGCATGCTGCCTTCAAGCATCTGTTTAACAAAGCATATCTTGCACCGCCCTTAATCCATTTAACCCTGAGTGGACACAGCACATGTTTCAGAGAGCACAGGGTTGGGGGTAAGGTCATAGATCAACAGGATCCCAAGGCAGAAGAATTTTTCTTAGTACAGAACAAAATGAAAAGTCTCCCATGTTTACTTCTTTCTACACAGACACAGCAACCATCCGATTTCTCAATCTTTTCCCCACCTTTCCCCCTTTTCTATTCCACAAAACCGCCATTGTCATCATGGCCCGTTCTTAATGAGCTGTTGGGTACACCTCCCAGACGGGGTGGTGGCCGGGCAGAGGGGCTCCTCACTTCCCAGTAGGGGCGGCTGGGCAGAGGTGCCCCTCACCTCCCGGACAGGGTGGCTGGCCGGGCGGGGGGCTGACCCCCCACCTCCCTCCCGGATGGGGCAGCTGGCCGGGCAGGGGCTGACCCCCACCTCCCTCCTGGACGGGGTGGCTGCCGGGTGGAGATGCTCCTCACTTCCCAGACGGGGCGGCTGCCGGGCGGAGGGTCTCCTCAATTCTCAGATGGGACAGCTGGGCAGAGACGCTCCTCACCTCCCAGACCGGGCGGCGGGGCAGAGGCGCTCCCCACATCTCAGACGATGGGCGGCCGGGCACAGAAGCTCCTCACTTCCTAGATGGGATGGTGGCCGGGAAGAGGTGCTCCTCACTTCCTAGAAGGGATGGCAGCCGGGCAGAGACGCTCCTCACTTTCCAGACTGGCCAGCCAGGCAGAGGGTCTCCTCACATCCCAGACGATGGGCGGCCAGGCAGAGACACTCCTCACTTCCCAGACGGGGTGGCAGCCGGGCAGAGGCTGCAATCTTGGCACTTTTGGAGGCCAAGGCAGGGGGCTGGGAGGTGGAGGTTGTAGCGAGCTGAGATCACGCCACTGCACTCCAGCCTGGGCACCATTGAGCACTGAGTGAACGAGACTCCGTCTGCAATCCCGGCACCTCGGGAGGCTGAGGCTGGCAGATCACTCGCGGTTAGGAGCTGGAGACCAGCCCGGCCAACACAGCGAAACCCCGTCTCCACCAAAAAAATACGAAAACCAGTCAGGAGTGGCGGCGCACGCCTGCAATCGCAGGCACTCGGCAGGCTGAGGCAGGAGAATCAGGCAGGGAGGTTGCAGTGAGCCGAAATGGCAGCAGTACAGTCCAGCTTTGGCTCAGCATCAGAGGGAGAACGTGGGGAGAGGGAGAGGGAGAGGGAGAGGGAGACCTTGGGGAGAGGGAGAGGGAGAGGGAGACCGTGGGGAGACAAGAGGGAGAGGGAGAGGGAGCTATATTCATATTTCACATATGTTGAAAGTAAATAATGGAAAAGCATGCAATGCAAATATTAACCAAAATATAGCTTTAGTTGTACTTATATTCAAATTTTAAAAGTTGTACACAGTTAAGTCTCAGTGATTTTTTTAAACAACGGAGGCAAGCTGTGCAGTTATAACTAGTGTTATATTATGCTCTTGGTCTGATTACAGAAGGGAAAGGGGCGATCATACCAGACAATGGCAGAATGAAGCAACAAGGAGTAGAGTTACAGAACATGATGCTGTAACTGGGACTGGAGTTACTCTTTTAAAGAATAGTAAACTGGAGAAAATATATGAAACATTTTTTTGAAGTACTGAACATCAGGCAGCGTAGGACTGTGCTCTGCAAGAGAAGAGAAGGAGCCAGAATGAGTCCTGCTTTATTCCCAGATTCTCCGTGACAGCAGTAGAGAGGAATCCCAGAGAGAGCAGACATTGTCATTGCACTGAGGAACCAGATAAAAATCAAAAAAGGTTAAGCAGCTGGAATGTGTAATAGAAGAGAACGTTTACAGAAAAAGGAACCAAGATTCAGCCTAAGGATTCTCCCAAGTCCCTAAGCCAAATGTACATAGGATGAAATTCTAAGGAGCTCAGCAAAGGACTCTACCAGGGAGTTGGAAGAAGAACACTTCCCTGGCTTCACATGACAGGAAGACACGTTAGCTCTGACCAGCCAGAGAAGGGAATCCCCTCTGTACCTCCAGGATATTCAGTAAAGACCACTGGAGGTTCATGCCCTAGAGACAGTGCTCATTTAGCTCCAAATTACAGATGGCTCTAGACTAACTCGACAAAGTTTAAAGAGAAGATTTAAAACAACAACAGACAAATACTCATCCTGAAGTTACTGAACTGTCTGCCACAACATTGTTCAAAGGTAGCCAATAAAATCTAGATATTCAATAGCATAACACCAAAATACCCAAAAAAAAACTCTGACATGCAAAGAAGCCGTAAGATATATATAATTAAGATATATATTAATAGGATAAAAATAAGTCATTTATAAATGACAGAGAAGAAGGAAATTTCAAGGTCCTTAAAGTAAATATATTTTATAAATACATATAGATGAATACATATATATGTCAAGGTACTTAAATGAAAATTGAACATAGGAGAAAAATAGAAGTTATAAAATGAAAAATGTGACATGTATAGATGAAGAATAAATATTTGAAATAAAAATTCCATGAGATAGAATAAGTAATGGATTTTACCCTAACATCAGAAAATTTATAGAAAAAAATAGAAGCTTTACAAACTAAAGGACAAAGGTTAAACTAAAATAAGAAAGCCAGAAACTCACTGATACGTCAGACAATATGCAGCAGTGTAACATACATGTAATTAATATCTCAAAAAGGATGGGTGGAGGAATTATAAGTGAATAAAGAATGGTACACCCATTCCTGAGGGCACCGAGGAGGGAGGATACCTTTAGATTCCTAAGGGAGGGTATTATCCATTCATGAAGGTCCAACCCCATGACCAAACACCTCCCAGTAAGCCCCACCTGCAATATTGGGGATCAAATTTTAACATGAGATTGGAAGGGGCAAGCATTCAAACCATAGCAAGAGTTAAATTTCCTTTTTAAAAAAATCACTGATATGATTCCATTTCGCCATAGATAAAAGCTAGTATTTCAGCCCACCATTGAGTGTGCTTATAGCTCACCAAAAGGGCACTCTTTCTCGGGAATACAGATTTGCCCAGAGGTAACCTATTGCAGTCAAAGAAAGAGCAATGAGGGATAGAAAAGGTTAGTGAAGGAGACCCCAGCGCTGCATTTTGCAACAAACAATGTAAAAATTTTACGGATTGGTTCTGCTAACTTACTACAGTTTACATTCCTCTCAGGTGGGAGAATTGTTGCATTTTTTCTTAAGATAGAAAAGCAATTCAGATTATCTGAAATCTCCACAAGAAAGATAAGGAACATGGAACGTTCTTCCATTTGTTTGTATCCTCTTTTATTTCCTTGAGCAGTGGTTTGTAGTTCTCCTTGAAGAGGTCCTTCACATCCCTTGTAAGCTGGATTCCTAGGTATTTTATTCTCTTTGAAGCAATTGTGAATGGGAGTTCACTCATGATGTGCCTCTCTGTTTGTCTGTTGTTGGTGTATAAGAATGCTTGTGATTTTTGCACATTGATTTTGTATCCTGAGACTTTGCTGAAGTTCCTTATCAGCTTAAGGAGATTTTGGGCTGAGACAATGGGGTTTTCTAGATATACAATCATGTCGTCTGCAAACAGGGACAATTTGACTTACTCTTTTCCTAATTGAATACACTTTATTTCCTTCTCCTGCCTAATTGCCCTGGCCAGAACTTCTAACACTATGTTGAATAGGAGGGGTGAGAGAGGGCATCCCTGTCTTGTGCCAGTTTTCAAAGGGAATGCTTCCAGTTTTTGCCCATTCAGTATGATATTGGCTGTGGGTTTGTCATAGATAGCTCTTATTATTTTGAAATACGTCCCATCAATACCGAATTTATTGAGAGTTTTTAGCATGAAGGGTTGTTGAATTTTGTCAAAGGCTTTTTCTGCATCTATTGAGATAATCATGTGTTTTTTGTCTTTGACTCTGTTTATATGCTGGACTACATTTATTGATTTGCGTATATTGAACCGGCCTTGCATCCCAGGGATGAAGCCCACTTGATCATGATAGATAAGCTTTTTGATGTGCTGCTGGATTCGTTTTGCCAGTATTTTATTGAGGATTTTTGCATCAATGTTCATCAAGGATATTGGTCTAAAATTCCCTTTTTTTGTTGTGTCTCTGCCTGGCATAAACATTCCATGCTCATGGGTAGGAAGAATCAATATCGTGAAAATGTCCATACTGCCCAAGGTAATTTATAGATTCAATGCCATCCCCATCAAGCTACCAATGACTTTCTTCACAGAATTGGAAAAAACTACTTTAAAGTTCATATGGAACCAAAAAAGAGCCCGCATCGCCAAGTCAATCCTAAGCCAAAAGAACAAAGCTGGAGGCATCACACTACCTGACTTCAAACTATACTACAAGGCTACAGTCACCAAAACAGCATGGTACTGGTACCAAAACAGAGATATAGATCAATGGAACAGAACAGAGCCCTCAGAAATAACGCCACATATCTACAACTATCTGATCTTTGACAAACCTGAGAAAAACAAGAAATGGGGAAAGGATTCCCTATTTAATAAATGGTGCTGGGAAAACTGGCTAGCCATATGTAGAAAGCTGAAACTGGATCCCTTCCTTACAACTTATACAAAAATCAATTCAAGATGGATTAAAGACTTAAACGTTAGACCTAAAACCATAAAAACCCTAGAAGAAAACCTAGGCATTACCATTCAGGACATAGGCATGGGCAAGGACTTCATGTCTAAAACACCAAAAGCAATGGCAACAAAAGCCAAAATTGACAAATGGGATCTAATTAAACTAAGGAGCTTCTGCACAGCAAAAGAAACTACCATCAGAGTGAACAGGCAACCTACAAAATGGGAGAAAATTTTCACAACCTACTCATCTGACAAAGGGCTAATATCCAGAATCTACAATGAACTCAAACAAATTTACAAGAAAAAAACAACCCCATCAAAAAGTGGGCGAAGGACATGAACAGACACTTCTCAAAAGAAGACAGTTATGCAGCCAAAAAACACATGAAAAAATGCTCACCATCACTGGCCATCAGAGAAATGCAAATCAAAACCACAATGAGATACCATCTCACACCAGTTAGAATGGCAATCATTAAAATGTCAGGAAACAACAGATGCTGGAGAGGATGTGGAGAAATAGGAACACTTTTACACTGTTGGTGGGACTGTAAACTAGTTCAACCATTGTGGATGTCAGTGTGGCGATTCCTCAGGGATCTAGAACTGGAAATAGCATTTGACCCAGCCATCCCATTACTGGGTATATACCCAAAGGACTATAAATCATGCTGCTACAAAGACACATGCACACGTATGTTTATTGCGGCATTATTCACAATAGCAAAGACTTGGAACCAACCCAAATGTCCAACAATGATAGACTGGATTAAGAAAATGTGGCACATATACACCATGGAATACTATGCAGCCATCAAAAATGATGAGTTCATGTCCTTTGTAGGGACATGGATGAAATTGGAAATCATCATTCTCAGTAAACTATCGCAAGAACAAAAAACCAAACACCGCATATTCTCACTCATAGGTGAGAATTGAACAATGAGATCACATGGACACAGGACGGGGAATATCACACTCTGGGGACTGTTGTGGGGTGGGGGAAGGGGAGAGGGATAGCATCGGGAGATATGCCTAATGCTAGATGACGAGTTAGTGGGTGCAGTGCACCAGCATGGCACATGTATACATATGTAACTAACCTGCACATTGTGCACATGTACGCTAAAACTTAAAGTATAATAAAAACAAAAAAAAGAAAGAAAGATAAGGAGCACAGCAGAAACTATTCTAGGCAGGAAGTCAATCCTTTCAACTGTCTGTGCTCCATAGAAACAATTGTCTGCACTGGGAGTCACATGAGGTACAGACCACAGCCAGACCTCTGACCCTCTCATTAGTGATTTCAGAAGAAATTACCAGTCAACTGAGTAATTCACTGAGTAAAGTAAACATTTGGCACTGACAGAGGTTAGATGGATAACTATTTGTATCACCATATTCGTGAAGCTGGAATATTTTCCATTACTGGTATCACATCGGAATGAAAGACGTTAAAAGGTCTCTCATCTTGTAAGATGGATATGAAAGAACATTTTCTCAGAAATGAAATTATTAACACACCTGCGAGGTGGATGGAAGAGAAAAAAAAAGAATAATCAGCTTGAGTTCTTCTCCTTGATAAGACAACTCACTAAAAACATAAAGAGAAAAATACAAGTTTAAAATAATTAACCAGAAGAAGACGACTCTAGAGTTTTTAAATTGCTGATAAGATTTTAATTTGCTCCAAGTTGAAAATAATTATATTGCTTGTGTTTTAAGGCACATAATGAGCAATTATATCACACATGATAGTTTCAGCACTAAAATATTATCCGTTAACAGCTGGAACTCATAAAAGCATAGCACAATGTGAAGATGGAATTTGCTAAAATAAACCATCTGCTGAAAACTACTATTCTGCAAATTTAAAAATAAAGTTTAAATGTTATTTGTCTTATTTAATAGGTCTGTGAAAAAAATGCGCTATTTGAAAAGTAGCTGCTACCTTAATTAATTCTTTATATTAGACGGCTGGTTACAGTAATGCACAGTAAGGTGCTACATAGATATATTGCTAAATTTTCTGCATATACTATGTATTTGGCTTAAATTATTTGAAATTTTATAGTTAAAATAACAAATGTATATTTAAATGTTTTGACACAAATTGCAAATATACCTTTAAAAAGCATCTTACACTCTAAATATTATTTGTCACCTATATATTTGTCTTTTCTCTATAGGAAAGTTTAACTTTTTCCCTTGAAGCTTTAATTATTTGAGTCTATAAAACAAACTGATAATGTACAAATTAACAGGAAAGAAAGGTTTACAGATATGTACACAAGTATGCACTTGGAGTTTACATAATATATATAAATATATCTATACAAATATTTGTATATTATAAATAGATATACAAATATATACTATATATATAAAAACTCCAGGAAAGGCAAGGTAGTCAACTCGCCTATGCTGTCTTGAGGTTACAGAAAACACAGAGCTGTAGGTTGGTAAATCAGGCTTTGCGGAAGACAGGTGACGACAAGGAAGAAAGAGGAGCCTGGCAGCAGAGGTTGTCTTGTTACATGGATGAAACCTCACAGGGAGCAGCCCTTCTCTTGGAAAGTATAGATAGGAAATGGTTTTTAGAAATGTAAACGTGCCAGGCTCAGTTAATCTTTCCTAAACCCAGACATGTGAGTATCTCAGGGAAAGCCTGTCTATATCAATGCAGATTTTCTCTACGAATGCAAATCTCCCCAACAAACACAGCTTTTCAGCTATTCTTGTAGAAGAAGCTATCTCCAGTCTTCCGAGTAGCCATCTTGAAATATGTCAAAAAGCTGCCCAGGCACACGCCTGTAATCCCAGCACTTTGGGAGGCTGAAGTGGGTAGATCACCTGAAGTCAGGAGTTGGAGACCAGCCTGACCAACATCGTGAAACCCCGTCTCTACTAAATACAAAATATTAGCAGAGTGTGGTGGTGCATGCCTGTAATCTCAGCTACTTGGGAGGCTGAGCTAGGAGAATTACTTGACCCTGGGAGGCTGAGGTTTCAGTGAGCCAAGATTGTGCCATTGCACTCTAGCCTGGGCAATAAAAGCAAAACTCCATCTCAAAAAAAAATGTATTTTAGGGTAATATTTTGAGTATCTTTACCTCCATATGTACAATAAATATTATTGTGATTTTTAATCTTTTCTCTGGAGAAAACACAGTTGTGATTTCTAGTGTAGCTGAACATCGTTTATTTGACAATATTGCATTTGTGTGTGGGTGTGTGCGTGTGTAGCTACTCTTTAATTTTGTTCTCACATAATGATTAGATATTAACAATTCAGTAAAATGTATGTTTTGCAATATTTCTCCATGTTATTATGCTTTAAATTAGTTTAATCATGCCCCTATAATGTGTACATTTTAACCTTTGACTATAGGTCTCAATCTTACTTTGGTTCCTGTATTTGAATTTATGCTAATAAAGTCCTACAGCTAAAAAAGATTATATAAACTTATCTACATTTTTACTAGTATTCTGGTGTCATTTTACATTATGTAATGAAATCAAATTTTAATTTGGATTATTGTTATCTGAGTTAAGGATCTAAATTTTTAATTTTCTTATAAATATTACATAATTATTTCTGAACCATATATTGACTAATCTGCCCTTTATATGATGTGCATTATAAGAGCTTGGGATTGTTTCATTTGCAAAGATGAATGCTTCAGAAGTAGATATTTAATCATAACATTTCAAAATCTACTGGATAACCTAGAATTGAAAAATAGCCTATAGGTTGAAAAACTCCTGTAGTGAAGAAAGAAAATAACTAATATACAGTGACTATATAAATATTATAAGTATTTATTTTATTATCGCCCTGAAATTTGATAATACAAACATGTAATATCTACATATCATCCATATATCAGGTCATAAAAAATCAATACATTCTTCAAAAATTTAGCATAACAGAAAATGCACTCTCTCTCCTTGATGGAATTAAGTTACAAATAAAAGTAAAAATAAGTAGATAAGTAGATGGAAGTAGATGTTTAAAAACAAAGAAAAATATTTGTTTTGGATAACATAAAATCTCAATTGACAATTCCAATATTTCCAGAACTTTGCCTGTCAACTGGTGGAGAGTTTTCCCCAGGAGACATTTGTCAATGTCTAGGGTTATTGTGGGGATGTCAAGACTGGTGGAGGTGTGAAATTTAGAGGTCAAACGAAACACCTAGCATTGCTAGGGCAGCCTCCCACAACAAAGAATCCTCTGGTCCTAAAGGTAAGTAGCACCAAGGTTGAGAAACCATAATCTAGACAGCAAACACTACGTAGCTATTCCAAGTGCTCAGGAAAACACATCAGTGCCCTCGAGGGGAAAAGTGTAAACATTTTAATTGCCGTACATGGTGACACAAATCCATGTTGTTAATCTAAGTGGAAGGGGCTGAAGCACAAAAGGTAATTCAAAGAGTTTACTTGAGCCAAAACGAGGACAGCTGCCTGGAAGAAACAGACCCAAGTATCCTTGGATATGAACTCCCTTTGGAGCTTTGCAACAAGCAGTTTCTTAAAGGCAAAAAAGGGTCCAGAAGTGGGATGATGCAAAGAGGTTTGTCACAAATTCTCATTGGCTTATGGAAATAACATTTATTAGTGACTGGCTATACACTGTTACACTATTATTGGGTGTGGATTATAGTGTCTGGTGTGGCGTTATTGGTTAATTTATAGCTACAGTGGCAACAGCAAGCAGCCTAGATGAACACACAGCTCAAAGAGGAGCAGGACAGAACTGCTGTCTCATTTGAATATCTCTCTGGGCCTGATTATTTAAAAGGACTTGCATTTCTCACATGAAAGTTATTTTCTTTTCTCAATGTCCATAAATGAGAATAAATAGACGTAAAATAGATCTTTTCGAGGATGAATAAATGGAATGAAAAACAAAACCCAAGCTGACCAGAAATCATAGAGGGAAGAAAAGGTTATAAATATATGGATTTTTCAAAGTGATTTTAAGCTATTAAGAATCAGTTAAATGTTGGGAGATTTTGTATGAGAATGGGCTAAAGGAGAATGTCCCTTTTGCCTTCTGAAGTTTCCCTGAAAATCACTAATAGGAGGCAGATAAATAGAAAAGGCATACAGGTTTCTGCAATGTGTGTACACTGGAGCCCTTAGAACGAAGACCCAGACACACGATGCGTGCAGAAGCTTATTTACCACATGAAGTTAACAGAAAGAATGGGGTCTTGGATCACAGGGAAAAAAAAAAAAAGGTTATGTGAGAAAATGACGCTGGCTAGCAACAGTGGACTTATTACATAGGTGGAACCTCACTGGGAGCAGTCCTCAGAGAGAATAGACAGAAAATGTTTCTTTCAGACCTTTTGGGGACCTCAGACTCTCAGTTAACCTTTCCTAGATCCAGACAAGGGGCAGACCTCAGAGAAAGCCTGGCTGCATCAAGGCAGATTCTCTACTGATGCAAATATCCCCAAGACAGCTTTGCAGCTAAGGTTGCATTTCCAGCCCTTCTCAATAGCCATTTTGAAATATATCAAGGAAATATATTTAGGGGTAAAATATATTAGTTTCCTTCATACAGCTATAAAACATACAGGAATAATTTTTGTCAATGGCTACTACAAATCCAACATAGCAGTAATTATAAAACCCACCAGATATTGAAGAAAAAATATGTAGAGTACATCAATTAGAAATGTTGATACTAAAATGCCAAATAAAATAAAAATAATATCCAACAATGTTTGAAACAGTAAGAGAAGAAATTGGCAAAAAAAAAAAAAAAACAAATATCCACCTTGGGGATGAAAGTGTGTTTCCAAATTTGGTAATCCAATAATATTAATAATCATATTGATTAGCCCAAATTAAAAATAAATAGGGGATTCTCAGTACATGCTAAAATATATTTGTTAAAAGGCAATATTCATGTCTTTAAAGATTTTAAATGCTATAAAGAGTCTGATATTCTATATGCAAACATGTGTATGTCCATTAGAAGAAGAGAGGCCTGATTTTCATATGTTACTACATAGAGATAGAGAAGTGGATAGATTAATTTGCATATGCAAAGAGAAAGCATGAAATAGAAATTTACTATCATATTAAAGGAATTTTAATTCAACAATAAAATAATTCAAAGGTAAAATTTTAAATATTTTTAACAGGTACATTATTAATATTAGATAATATTTATAATAATTGTGAAAATATTCAATGTTAAAATAAGATAGAATGCCTAAACATCAGTATTAAAACTAGTATAAATATTTGCTTGTTTATACAAGGAAAATTCAAGCTCGACCTAAAATTATATAGGAAATAAAAGAAAAATTTTAAGGGAGCTCTTTAATAATATAAACATATATATATACACACACAAATATAACATGTATATATGTTATATGGGATAGATATAGATTTAACATGTTATATCTATATTTGTATCTAGAACTACAGCTGTATGTATCTACATTTCTATATATTTACTCAGTGATATAAATATAGACTGGAATAAATATAAAGACACATATGATTCTTGGATAAAAAGGATTTACTATCATAAAGACAAATTCTTTCCACATTCACTTATGAATTCACAACAATATACAGTTTCATTAGTATAATTTAAAATTTTTAAATAAGTTCCAAGATTCATTTAAAGGAATATACATGTATACAAGCAGTCAAGAAAGAAGCAAGAGTGCACTAAACTAACTTGCTATTAAATTACATTTTTAAACTTAGTAACTAAAACTGAGCAGTACTGATTTGGAGTACTGGAATTTAGGTATATGGGATCTCAAAAGCACAGAGCTCAAAGGAGGCCCCCCTATGCACGAGAGCTTAGGATGTGCTTTAGAAGGCATTACCAAACCACGGGCAAAGTTACTTTAGTGTCTTAGTCTTACTAGGTTTGAAAAGCCAGAGAAAAGACTCAAGACCACCATATAAGAGCAAAACAAAAGGACAGGGAGAGAATGTGAAGATACTGAAACATTTTACATAAAGTTGTATAAAACATCCTTTAAAGAAAATATAAAGTTTAGGATATACGTCAAAATCAGCAGAGCCACTAAATAAATAAATAGGCATTGTAAAATAGCAAGAGAAAATTTAAATTGATTTCTAAAAAATATTGACACCTATGATTTTTAAAATATGTTTAAGAAATCTCGTATTTCACAGGGCAGCCTTTCACAACACAGATATGTTAGGACATAAAGGTCCTTCTGTTTTTAATTTACTAGTGTTTATAGGGTTACAAATGTCTTCTACCCTTGTCTTTTGTCTGATGGTGCAAAAATTTTTCATAAGCATGTATTTCTGAATGCCTGATGGATTGACATATATCATATGCTGCTAGTATTAAAATATGTGATGGAAAACGCATCCAATCTTCTCACTGTTTACATAAATTCTAGGTTTCTCCTATTTACCTCAAGCACGTATGGAGTGAATTCTTACTTTTTAATATTGCCATGGCATTCACATTGAACATAAGTTGAACTCTCTCATATGGTAGCTGGGTTCAGATTCTCTTGACAATTTCCAGTTCTAACCCTCACAGTTCCTCAGTGTGGCTTGCCCAGATATCGACCCTACACAGTTGCCTCCTCCTGGTGACTACCAGCTATGGAACCGTTGGATACAACCTACCTGACTCACCCCACAGACCTCACAGCGCACATGGACAGCCCCCACACGCCAGAGTGACCTGCTCAGTTGCAGCGGGAGTCAAGAAATGTGCCTGCTGGCACTCACCCCACCGACTAGTGCCCCGTGGAAAACTTATATGGGTAATGATCTGGACCCAATAAAGGCTGGAGTCCCACAGACCACTTTTCTCTCTCCTGCTCCCCACTCATCTTCCCCATTTTGTTCAGCCCTATGAGGTGTGCTACTGTATTAGTCCATTTTCACACCACCAGTAAAGACATGTCCAAGACTGGGTAATTTCCAGAAGAAAGAGGTTTAATAGATGCACAGCTCCACATGGCTGGGTAGGCCTCACAATCATGGCACAAGGTGAAAGGCACGTCTCACATGGCAGCAGACAAGACGAGAGCTTGTGCAGGGAAACTCCCCTTTATAAAACCATTAGATCTTGTGAGACTTATTCACTATCAGAAGAACAGCATGGGAAAGACCTGCCCCCATGATTCAATTACCTCCCACCTGTTCCCTCCCACAACATGTGGGAATTTAAGATGAGATTTGGCTGAGGACACAGCTAAACCCTCTTCTCAGCTACCCTCTTCTCTCTGGATCTGTGAGTAATAAACCTACTTCTGTGATTTCCCATGTTTGGTTCTGTGGCCTCCATGGGTCTGAGCTGACCTACACTGGAACCTAACTCTCCTCCTGGCCAGGGTCTCTGAGAGGGGCTCTTGTCAGAAATACACAGGACACAAGTCAGGCAACAGTCACCAGGAATCTCCTAGTCTCAACAGATGTTCTGTGAGAGGGAGGCCTGGTCGTGGAATGCACACCTGGCCACTGCTGGGGTAAGGAAATGTCCTGTGAAAGGCACATGTTAAGCATCCACAACCCCCTGACCAGAACCCCAGAAAGACAGGGCTCCAATTGACAGTCACTCTCCAGAGACAAACCTCAAGCCCTAACTGGAGGAAAAGAAAACAATGTAAAAAGTTGAATTTATCTTACTATTTCAATGATCCAGTAAAGACATTCTATGCCTGTACACCACATATTTTCTACGATTGTGGATTTATTTTAGATAGAATTTTATGTCTGGCTTTCACTTTAGCCTGCATAAGGTAAAAATTTTCCATGGGTTCTTTTCTGGTACTACTATCTGCCAGTGTGGGGTCATGTCCTAGTCTATCTTGAGGGAAACCCCCTGTTCATTTTTGTCAGAATGAGACTGTTAAGTCTTGATTTCCCTGGACAACTTCACTGCATGACTTTTAATATGATTTTTAAATATACCCTTTACTGGACAATAAATTATATAGTTATCTGAGTAAGAGATATGGTCAGGAAGAGGCATTGCCTCATTCAGCTTTTCTCTTTGGTGAACTCGCATATGTTCTCCTCACCCGCCAGTCACCTCTAAACCGTATTGTTCCAGGACAACAAACAGAACTCTAGTGTGTATCTTTCACCACTGGATTTGTGTTTGCTCCATAAAGCTTCATGCTTAATAGGGCTTCTGTTAGCATTTTCTCTATTTATTTTCCCATAAAATATCACAGGCCTTCTTCATATGGAATTATGGGTGATTTCCTTCAATCTGCATCATATCAAGTTGAGGTTCATGTTGAAGGAAAGTAAAACATACGTTGAAAATATCAGTAATGATGTTTTCCCCTCCTTTTTAGCACCTGTGCTTGTGATACAAGCACATTTTAATACAATTGTAGTATCATGCTTTGATCATTCCTATGATGAAAATAACATTTTTAGATAAAATATCTGAGTTTTATGAGGACTTTAGTATGTGATGTGATAGAATATCAGAAGACCATACTTTTTTCTAGTTTTCCGTGCAATTCTATCATTGTTTCATGTTTACTCCTACCAGAGTAATTTTCCAAAATAGATATCTTTTCATTCCTCCTGTTGTTATCAGTAAATAAGTGAAATGAAAAGCTAGATTATATAATTTATCTAGAACAAGAAAGTAGAATTGAATCTATATTCATTAATGAGACTAACCAGTAAATTACACAGATAGGCATTTTACATTTTGAAGATCATATGGACCCATTGTCAGAAATATTATTATTTATGTCTATATGGACATCACCTGTGCATATTTACATAGAAATCAATGAGAGCTGATTTTCATTTTCATTATATATATTTTTTGAGATAGGGTCTTGCTTTGTTGCCCAGGCTGGATTGCAGTGGTGCAATCACTGATCACTGCAGCCTCAGCCTCCCAAGCTCAAGCAATCCTTCCACCTTGGCCTCCCAAATAGCTAGGATAACAGGTGCACATCACCATGCCCACTTTTTTTTTTAACCTTTGATAGAGACTGGGTCTTGCTATGTTGCCCAGGTTGCTTTTGAACTCCTGGGCTCAAGGAATCCTCTCATTTCAGCCCCCTCAACTGCTGGTATTACAAGCATGAACCACCATATGGGCTGGAAGCTGGTTTTTAAAATACTGAGATCATATAGATGACAGCACCTGAAAAATAGACAACACCAAGCTTTATGCTAAAAGGTGTGAGAGTATAAATATTGTTGTGGCTATTGGGGAGGAATACATTAGTAAAACCAGTAAGTTAAAGCTCTTGCTTTAAACTTTGGCTTTAATTTAACAAATGTTCTATGGAGTGACAGTATGTATGTAACTATGCTATGCCCATTCACAGATGCAGTAGAGGGAAGAATTTCTCAAAGACTACTGTTCTAAGACTCAAATTAAACCATACTGGGTTTGAAAAGAGAAAGTCCAGGAATTACCAAATATTTTAGATATCAGATAAAAGAGAATGCCAGGTATGCGATGATAATCAGCAATGGTTGTTCACACAATACATCAAATCAGTATTTGAATTAGCTTTTGAATTACAAGGACAAATGGATCAAGTCTAGACTCTTTAGTAGATAAATCTTATTAGGCTGAGATGTGTTTTCCCCTGTTTTTCCACAAGGAGATTACAAATTTGCAAACCTCAGCTGCTCTCATTTTATGCTCTCAGCAAGCCAAAAGCTGAAGTTCATCAATCAGTGTGTCTAAGTGTTCACTGGTTATATACCATTTTGTAGTTTCAACTATCTTTCCAACTTCCTAAATCATCACCTTCATTTGATCTTGTTTTTTTCCACCATCACTTCTTTATTGACCATATAAAGAATATAAGTAAGTTCTTATTTTGTTATTGTTCATTTTAGTCTAATTTCATCAAAAGATCACAATCTTTTAATTTCATTTTAATTTCAAAGATTAAATGAAACCTACATAGAAATGAGTGTAAGATTTGCGTTTGCATTATTTTGGCATCAATTTGCTATCATCCCTCATGCACATAGAGATCATTTCCATGTACATGATTTTAAACATCCAAGTGAAGTATTAAAAGCAGTTGTAAATTATGGTTCCCATTTTCATGATACAATTACAATATAAACTTCCTCTTGCTGCTGTAACCAATTACCACAAACTTCATATCTTACAATACAGTGACCGTTAATCCTACAGTTCTGTAGTTCAGAAGCCTTAAATGAAACTCACAGGGATAACATCAAGTTTTGGACAGGGCTGCAGTCTTTCTGAGGGCTATGTAGCAGAATCTATTACTTGATTTTTTCCGGCATCCAGAGGCCACCTTTATTCCTTGGAACATGAACTCATTCTTATATCCTATTTTTCTTTTTTTTTTTTTTTTTTGTGATGAAGTCTCCTTCTGTCACCCAGGCTGGAGTGCAGTGGCACAATCTCAGCTCACTGCAACCTCTGCCTCCCGGCTTCAAGTGATTCTTCTGCCTCAGCTTCCTGAGTAGCTTGGACTACAGGCACTTGCCACCATGCCCAGTTAATTTTTTGTATTTTTAGTAGGGATGGGGTTTCACCATGTTAGCCAGGATGGTCTCGATCTCCTGACCTCGTGATAAACCCACCCCAGCCTCCCAAAGTACTGGGATTAGGCGTGAGCCACCATGCTGGGTCCTCATTCTTGTATCTTAAAATTCAGTGATGTTGAGTAATTTCTCATGCCACCACCTCCAAGGTTGCCTTTCTTTTGCCTTCTTCTTTCACTTATAAGGAAGTTTGTGATTTCATTGATCCCACCCATTTAAGACAATCTCTCTATCAGTTTTCCGCAACCTTAATTTCACTTGAAATCTAATTTCACACTGCCGTGCAACCTAACATATTTGTATGTTAGACTCTGGGAATTAGGACATGAAAATTTTGGGGAGGACATTCTTTTGCCTACAGAAGACATAATCAATTTACCTGCAGATTAAAGCGTTCTTTATTTTTCTGTCTCCCTCTCTTAATTTTTTTTAAAATAATATGAATTGTAGTAAAGAGAAAGAAAGAAAAGAAAACAAAGAAAGAAAAAGAAGGAAGGAAGGAAATAAAGAAAGAAAGAAGAAAGAAAAGAAGGAGGAAATGAGGGAAGGAAGGGAGGGAGGGAGGAAGGAAGAAAGGCAGGAAGGGAGAAAAAAGAAAGCATGAACACAAGAAAGAAAGAAGGAAAGAAAGAGAAAGAAACAGAAACAGAGAAAGGAAGAAAGGAGGAAGGGAGGAAGGAAAGGAGGAAGAGAGAATGGTAAAAGGGAGGAAGGCAAAGAAACAAAGAAAATAAAGAGGCGAAGGAAGGAAGGAAAAAGAGGAAAGGAAGGGAGGGAGGAAGGAAGAAAAGGAGGGCGGGAGGAAGGGAGAAAAAAGGAAAGAAAACGTGAGAAAGAAAGAAAGATTATGAGAAAAGGAAGAAAAGGGAGGGAGAAAGGAAGGGAGGGAGGAAGGAAGGAAGAATAAGAGGAAAGAGGGAGAGAAGGAAAGAAGGAAGGAAGGAGAAAAAAGAAAGAAAAGAAAGAAAGGAAAAGAAAAAAGAAAAGAAAAGGAAGAGGAAAAGAAGAAAGGAAGGAAGAAGGCAAGGGAAGGGAAGAGAAGAGAAAGGAAGATGGAAAGAAGGAAGGAAGAACGCAAATATTAAAAATTCTGGGTTTGTTAGAGAATATGCCATACTTTTTTTTTTTTCACTTGAAAGGAAAGAGTATCTGCCATTGAAGATTGGATGTCTTGTTGGTGATATTGTTGTTCTTAACTTCCACATGATTACTGAGTTTGTGCCTAGTCTTTCCATTACTAAGACAAAAGAGATGAAGTCTGCAAATATAATTTTGGATTTTTCTAGTTCACCTTTTATTTCTTTCATGTTTTACCTCATGTATTTGGAGGTTCTGTTGTTAGCTGCATACCCTAATTAGTAGGATGTTTACATCTTCTTGAGAATTGATTATTCTATTATCTATTATCTCTCATCTCTGATACTATTTCTTGTTCCGAACTCTGTTGTGTCTAATATCAATGTAGTCCTTCCACAGCTTTATTTTAGTGTTTCCATGATATGGCTTTCTCCACATCTTGATGATAACCTATTTATATCTCTATATATTTGGAGCAAGATATAAAATTTAGAGTTGATTTTTTAAAGATTTTTCAAGATGGAATTCTTATTTCTTTTTGTTCTATTTGACATTCTCTGAGTTTCCTATATTTGAAGTTTGATTTTCTGTAACTTATTTTAGAATATTTTGGGCAGTTATTTTGAAAAATATTTCTTTTGCTCCATTATTTTTTCCTCTTTTCTTTTTGGGATTTCAATCATAACTAGGGTATGTAATTTCATCTCAGTCTTACGCAGGTACTTTTTCTCAGGGTCTCAGGAATGTAGCCTTCTCACACTTCTGTTCTTTTCCTGGTTGTGTTGGTGAGCTCAGTGATATTCCTCCTTCACCTTCAAGAGCAGTTTTGTTTTGTTTTTCCTGTTTTCATACTCCCAGCATCAGGAGTATTCTAAGTGTGGCAGTTTTTGTTGCCTTCCCCTACATATTAAGTGGAATATCTTGGTCTATTTGGACTCTTATAACAAAATAACATAAACCGGGTGACTAAAAAACAACAGATATTTCTTTTTTCACACTTCTTGAGGCTGTAAGATCTCAGGTCAAGATGCTCAGAAATTCAGTGTTGATGAGAGCCAATTTCATGGTTCATAGATGGTGCCTTCTTTCTATGTCCTCACATAGTGGAAGGCACACAAGAACTCCATTGAGCTTCTTTTATAAAGGCACTAATCCCATTCATAAGGGCTCGGCTCCCAAGACCTGGTCACCTCCCAAGTGTTCTGCTCTCCCTGATCTGTGTCATATACAGACTCTCTTGGATTCCTTACCAATTGCTTGACAGATCACAGTGGGTTTGTGGGGAAAAAGTTTTCAAGATGATGGATCTTTCCCAATTTCTGCAGCTGTCAGCGGTCTCCCAATCTGACCAGCCCCACTTTGTCTTTAGGAATTTATTGATTATTCCAGCTTTACTTGTCATAGTGGTGTCTATTTGCATCTATCCTATGTACGTGCATCTGTCCTCTTTCTCCTTGCAAGTGCTTGTTTTCCCTCACATTTTGACTCAGTTCTTGGCAACCTCGTTGCTATAAAAATAAAGTCATGACTTTGAAGTTAGTTTGGTTGTTTCATTGTTGTCAGGTTAGGAACCCTATTCCATCCCAGATCTCCAAAACTCAGACTTTTTGGGGGGTTGAAATTTTAGGCTTTCTCTTTGAATTGTAGTTTTATCTTCTTTCAGTTACCATTTGCATTTTCATAATGATTAATGAGACTAAGCTTTTTTTGTGTAGTTGACTGTAACTTTGGATTTTTTTAATTTGGAATATAAACACCTTTTTAATTTGGAATTAAAACATCTTTTTTTTAATTTGGAATACAAAGAGAAAAGATAAAAATAGAAAGCTATGCATAAACACATGCATTAAAATGAATTTTATGTGGGCTTTTTCATGAAAATGTTCCTAAGGTATTTTATTTTTTTATTGTGGTAAAATACACATAACATAAAATGTACTCTGTTAACCATTTTAAGTGTACAGTTCAGTGGTACTAAATATAGTCATAACATTGTGCAGCCGTCCCTACCATCCATCTCCATAATTCGTTTCATCTTGTAAAACTGAAACTCTATACCCATTAAACAATACTTCTCCATTTCTTCCTCCCCCCAGCTTCTGGCAACCATCATTGTACCATCTCTATGATTCTGTCCACTTTAATACAAATGGAATTATACTGTATTTGTCCTTCACTGACTAACTTATTTCACTTGGCATAATATCCTCAAGTTTCTTCCAAGTTGCAACATACGTCAGAATATTTCCCTCATGTTTAAGGCTGAATAATATTCCATTGTATGTATATATCATATTGTGCTTATCCATTCATCTGTTGTTGGACACTTCAATTGCTTCTACGTTTTAGCTATTGCCAATAACGCTGCTGCAAACATGGATGTGAAAATATTTTTTCAAGACTTTGCTTTCAGTCACTTTGCTATCCTGAGATGTGGAGCTGCTGAATCATATGGCAATACCATTTTGATGTTTTGACGAACTAACATACTCTTTTCCACAGCAAACATAGGGTTTGGCATTCCCTCCAATATTGCAAAACGAATCGCCACATCCTTGCCTGTGGATTTTATTCACAAGTCCTGTGGCTCTCTCTACATCCTGGCCACCATGTGTTATTTCCTGTTTATGTATATGACATCAAAGGTGCAGGAAGTAATGAACTAAATTGGAAGGATAAACATGCAGAAAAATAGAGGTAAATACTGACTACATAAAACCATAAGAATAAGAATTTTGGATGATCTATATATTATATACCTATTTATCTAACATCTATCTGTTCCTCCATCTGTAATTAAAATATATTACAGTTAGAGAACAGAGGAAAAAGGAGGAATACATGAATTTAAATTTTAATTCTTCTTAGATTGTCTCACAGCATCATTATAGGAAAGAAAATTTATAGGTCAATATCTGTTAACTATAAATGTAACATTCTTAAAGAATTCAAATACATTGAATTACAGCATGAATAATATATTACAATCCATTCAAGTTTATTTTATTCCAGGAACTCAAAAATACAAATTTCATTTGCAATTCAAAAAAAACATAAATCGATACATATGATTGATGTATATACAAATTTAATGTATTTTTAAATATACATTTTTCAAAAATAGAAATTTTTCTATGACAAATACTTAAAATATCACTGAAAATAGTGTTATTAGCTAATAACTTCCTAATAACTCTGGTATTACATAAGAAACCAAAATTAAAATTTCAGGTAAACTTAGAAAATAAAATTTTAAAAATATTATTCTGTTCTCCATATGTTCATATTTAATATTATTTCTTGTTTTCATTCGTCTTCAGTGTTGCTCTACTAAAATATAACATACAATACTAACTTTTGATTTCTGTTCTTATTACTCAAAATTGTGTACATTTTCTCATGCTCTTAATTTAGTTATGCTACTTTTCTGTACTCTTGGAATTTTCACATTTGTGTTCACTCTCTTTTGAGTTCCCATAGTATCAAATGAGCTTTTTTCCCTCTTTCTGATTTGAAGATTCATCTTCTCATAATTATTTTGTCCACTCAGTTTTTTTTCATTCTCAGTTAAGTCCCTCTCATCTGGCTTCTTTTCATTTATAAGGTTTCCTTTCATCTTAAGCCAGTCTTTCATTTATATTTTGATTCTGTTTTGTGGAGGACATACTTCCCTGAATTTTACGGAAGAGGCCAAAAGATTTGTTCAAGTTTTTACCTGATACATTGGATTAAATTATCTAATGTACACACCCTTAATTTAAGTCTAGGGGCGACTGTCTTCTCTTGATTTTGAATAGTATTATTTTTCTTAACATCCAAGTCCATCTTCATCTATTTGTATAAGATCAATAAAAATATATTTGTCCAGAACCCTGCTTTGGTGGAGTTACTTCTTTCTAAGTAGTAGAGGTAGCAGTTGAGACATGAGCTGGGTTCTGGGTCAGTTTAGGGGGCTGGGCGACATTCCTCCTTTTGGTCTGTATGACTGAATGAATGCAGTTCTTGCTGTCTCGCTCCTCTCCTTAACACATTGAGCCATTGCAGCAGATGAGAAGGAATAATCTTGATCTGCCATTCAGGTGGAACACATGTTCTCTCCAACCACACCCATAGGTTGTACCCACACTCGGCCAGAACGTATCCTGTCAATTGTATGGAGATGTATCTATCTATCTAGATAGATATCTACTTTGGTTTATGCTCTCTGGTTGGCCGTAAATTATCTCCTTAAAGTGAATATCAAAAGAGAGCTTGGTGATGGCAGTGTTATAAAATCCTCACACCCACACCCACACCCAGAGGAATTTGTAGATTCTGGGATTCTAATTCAGATACCAAACTATATAAAAGGGGAATTGGTCATTGAGGGTTGCTAGGCTCTTTGTTGAGCATATTTGCTCTTTTCATGACTTCAACATTATTTTAAAAATCTAACCTTTTTCTCAGTCTGCTGCAAGATGATTTGATTGGAATGCATAAGCACTAATTCTCCCCTAAGATTTGTACAATATATTTGCTCTGACAAGCCATAGCCAGCAACTCACTTCACAGCAATTTATAGCATTTCCACCATAAGTTGAATTATGTTTAACTAGACTCTCTTTGCCTTAATCAAAATATGAAGAAGCAATATACTTGTACTAATTAGGTTCAAAAGTTGGCAGTCTCTCTCCTGAAAAGAATACTAAAACTTTACAGCGGCCTAATATGCATCTATAAACACACATACGCACACACAAACACACACACACACGCAAGCACTATTCATAATATTTAAAGCACATTCTGTTCTATGACTTCATTTGTCTAGCACAAAATAAAACGATCTCAGTATATGTCAAGTACCAATTTTTTTCGTATGGCCGATTATAGACATTTTATTTTTTAAAGATTAGAGTGTTCTTGAAGCTCTTTCTATTTCTTTGTCAACGAACTAAACATTGGCAAATATATAGGGTTTCCCACATAAGAACATTATTAACATCAAAATAGAAAGCTGGTGGTAGAAATAATGATTGGGAACACAGAGTCTCTACTCAACGTTCTAGTTCTGCCATACCATAACTTTGTGATCTCAGGAAATATCTCTCCATGTTGTCATCTCTATGTATAGTTCTGTCATTTTTCAATAGGAGCTTTTTGCTTAATTATGAAGTACTAGTTACTATAACCATTATTTTGAGTTTCATGTAAATCAAGAACACCTGGACTCCAGTTGCAAAACATCGAAAATGTAGTTAGGGATTGGGGGCATAAAGCAACATTTTAAAATGTGTAAAGACAATGAGTAAGCAACAAAGTGTCCAATTTTTTAGAGGAAAGTTGCATACGTTAGGAAAAGGGAGGACTAAGTAACAGAGAATTTGAATGATAGCTGACCAACTGGTGTCATTTACAATTGCAAGTCATACAAATGAAGTTTTCTGTTTTAAAGAGAAAAGGAGTTAGTTAGAATGGGTCAACCTATTGGAGAAGAAATGTAGTTGGAGACAATGCCCAAAACCATGTGAGCAAATGCTCTGTAGAGCGCACCCCTGCAATGCTGCCATTGTGAGGCCAAATCTCTCCTCGTCTTGGTACTGAGCCTTCCGTTCTGCCTCCATCATTGCCACTGTAGCTGCCACAAAATGATCCCTCAACCACCGCTGCCCAGGAACAAAGAAAGAATTCTGTCCTTCCGCGCTCTCAGATCAATTTCCAACATCAGGTGAGCCTTTGATGGGCACTATTCAGTTCCCATATCCCTGAAATAGATGCAGTAAAAACATAGAAATTGCCTATGTGTTTCCCAATAATACACATATGGAAGCCTGTTTTCCCACAACAGGAAGGGGTTTGCACAATGGGTGTTCAAAGGAACAATATTCCCTGTAAACCATACTTTGCCCATATGAAGAAAAGCAATAAGGATTATTTAATAAATAGACATGGAAACTCATCCAGGGTTGGCTGATGAGAAGCGGGTTAACAAGGGGGTCTGCCTTCAGTTAGGACAAGGTCTGTGCTTCCCACGGGTTCTCTCCACAGCAGGAGGGATGCAAACTTCCCTTTCCTCCCCTGCACCTACCCTCAAATGGCCCAGAGTTCTTCAGGTGCTAGAATTTCTCAATTAATGCTGCACAAAATATCAGACAGCCTTGACTGTCACAGTCTGTTCTAATGATGCTAGTCTCTGCTCACTACATAAAACAGGAGAGTAAGAACAAGGGTGTTTAACGCTACCCTAGCTCAAACAAGTTTCTCTCTGTAGGATGCCAAGAACCTGGGAACCAGTGCATCTGCTGCTTTTCGTTCTCGGATTCTAGCACAGACAAAAGAGGCAAGGGGCATTTCTTCAGAGGCCTTGAGCTTCACTACACAATGCCCCAGGCTCTACATGCACCCTCTTTATATATTTCTACCTTGAAAAAAAATTTTTATATAATATTAATAATATATATTTTTATATAAGAAACACATGTTTATTTTATAGATAGATATATATATACATAGATAAAGATCTCTAGTCAGCCTTTTTTAAGGCTGGGCTGATTGCGGTGCCTCAAAACTATAATCCCAGCATTTTGGGAGGCCAAGGTGGCCAGATCTCTTGAGTCCAGGAGTTGGAGATCAGCCAGCGCAACATGATGAAACCCCATCTTCACAAAAATTAGCTAGTATGGTGTCATGCACCTGCAGTCCCTGCTACTCAGGAGGCTGAGGTGGGAGAATCGCTTGAGCACAGTATGTGAAGGCTTCAGTGAGCTCTAATCACATGACTGCACTCCATCTTGGGTGACAAAGTGAGACCCTCTCTCAAAAATAAAATAAAATAAAATAAAAATGCTACCACCATACTCACAGATAAGTGTGTCAGGTATATTTGCAGCTATCCTTCCTATATTCTATTTGGTAAAAAAAAATGCAAAGAACTGTTCTCATTCTAGATTTTTGTATTAATTGGACATTTGAAGTTTATAGCAGAAGAGCTACAATCATGTTTGGTATGTGTACTCTATAGACCAGACAGTGCAAACAGATATCAATGCTTTTTAAAATATATAAGGTTATTAGAAATATTTTAAAATACCTATAGGTATATATGTATCTAATTGAACTATCAAATGCAAGTAAGATCATTTCCTTAGCTTGTGAAATTCACTCAATTTATTAAAATATTTTCTAATATCTATTACAATAATATTTCTTAATTAGGTAACATAAGAGGAGTTTTAAGACATTTATTTATATGTACTTCCTAGATTCAAACTCGATTCCACTATTTTCAGAAATCATACTCTGAGACAAGTCCTTTTTTTATCTAACTATGTTTCTGCCTATATTAAAAGACAGATATGTCAATTTTGCTAGTCATGCTGTTCCAAACCTCTCCATCCTGATTATTTTTCGGTTTGTTCTAGCAGTCATTCAGAGACTTACTTATATTCAAATTTCTCTCTAGGTTTAACATTCATGTATGTCTTCTTGTGGTTTTGTCTATTTTTGCTGTATATAATTTAAGACATTTTATTGACATATATCATACATGCAGAAAAGTACAATGATTAAATATGGATAGCTTGATTAATGAAACACATGTATTTGCTTATAGCCATGTACGAAAATAGAACATTACTAAAAATAGTGATACTTCTGCCCCTTTGCAAACACCAACCCTCATCCTCAATAGTAACAGATTTTTTTTTATCATAGAGTAATTTGGTCTACTTTCAAATTTTTATTAAATAAATCAGAGTATCTACTCTAAGTCTATGTTTCTTTCATTGTTGTTATTTTCCTTGTAGTATTTATCTGCTAATGGACACGGTAGATTGAAGATGGCTACATACACATTTTTTAATTAATAGATTTTTTGAGCACTTTGTGGCTCATGCCTCTAATCCCATCACTTTGGGAGGCTGAGGTGCGTGGATCATGAGCTCAGGAGATCCAGACAATCCTGGCCAACTTGGTAAAACCCCTTCTCTACTAAAATACAAAAAATTAGCTGATAGATAACATCAAGATAACATCTGAGTTCTTAGCTGCACTGAGTCAAGCCTACTTACATCTTCGTCTTCCGCTGCACTTTTCCTTCCACATCACAGTCCAGGAATGCCAAGCTGCATTGGCCTTCTACCCCTTTTCCACTATTGTGCCCCTGCCACCGCGGCTTTTTGCCACCGCTGCTTTTTGCCGCCACCGCCGTGGGTTTTTGCCTCCGCTGCTTTTTGCCACTGCCGCCGCGGCTTTTTGCCCCCAACACTGGGGCTTTTTGCGGCTCTTTGACCCACCACTGGGGCTTTTTGCGGCTTTTTGCGCCCGCCGTCCTGCCTTTTTGCCCCCGCCGCTGCAGCTTATTCCCCGCCTCGCGGATTTCTGCCCCCGCTGCTGCAGCTTTTTCCCTGCCTCGTGGATTTCTGCCCCCGCCCCTGTGGCTTTTCGTCACCGCTGCTGTTGCTTTTTGCCCCCGCCGCTGCGGGTTTCTCCAGCCACGGCTTATTGCCCTCGCTGCCGAGGCTTCTTACCCCCACCGCCGTGGCATTTTGCCCCCATCACCATGGCTTTTTGTGGCTTTTTGCCGCTGCGGCTCTTTGCCTCCGAAGCCACGGCTTTTTGCCCTTGGCGCCATGGCTTTTTGGCCCTGCCGCCACGGCTTTTTGTGGCTTTTTGCCCCCACCACTACGGCTTTTTGCCACCGCGGCTCTTTGCCTCCGAAGCCATGGTTTTTGACCCTGCCGCCATGGGTTTTAGCCGCCGCGGCTTTTTGCCCCCGCCGCCATGACTTTTTGCTCCTGCCGCTGAGGCTTTTTGCCTCTGCAGTTTTTGCCCCCGCCGCCGCTGCTTTTTGCAGCTTTTTGCCCCCCCACCGCCGTGGCTTTTTGACCCCCTGCCACTGCGGCTTTTTGCCCATGCGGCTTTTTCCCCCCGTCGCCCCGGGTTTTTGTTTTTTGCACCCGCTCCCGCTGCTTTTTGCCCCACCACTAGGGCTTTTTGCCGCCGTGGTTTTTTGCCCCCGAAGCAACAGCTTTTTGCCCTCGCCGCCACGGCTTTTTCCCCGTGCCGCCACGGCTTATTGCCCCCACCGCCGCGGGTTTTTGCCGTCACGACTTTTTATCCCCACCGCCGCTGCTTTTTGCAGCCGCGGCTTTTTATTCCCACCGCCATGGCTTTTTGGTCCCACCACCGTGGCTTTTTGCCCTCCCGCAGCCGTGGCTTTTTGCTCCTACCTCTGAGGCTTTTTGCCGCTGCGGTTTTTAACCCTGCCGCTGCTGCTTTTTGCAGATTTTTTCCCCCTGTCGCCACGGCTTTTTGCCCCCGCGTCTTTTTCCCCCTGTCTCAGCGGATTTTTGTGGTTTTTCCGCCCCAGCCGCTGCCGCGGCTTTTTGCCCCCAAAGCCACAGCTTTTTGCCTTCGCCACCGCGGCTTTTTGCCCAGCCGCTACAGCTTTTTGCCCCCGAAGCCACACCTTTTTGCCCTCGCCACCGCGGCTTTTTGCGGCATTTTACTCCCCGCCGCTGTGGCTTTTTGCCCCCGCCACAGCTTCTTATCCCCATCGCCGTGGCTTTTTGCAGTCACAGTTTTATTCCACCACCGCGGCTTTTTGGGCCCACCACCACGGCTTTTTGCCCCCGCCACCATGGCTTTTGGCTCCTGCCACTGAGGCTATTTGCCGCCGCGGTTTTTGCCCCTGCCGCTGCTGCTTTTTGCGGCTTTTTGCCCCCGTGGATTTTTCCCCCCGTCTCCGCGGGTTTTTGTGATTTTTTTGCCCCCGCTCTTGCTGCTTTTTGTCCCCGCCACCGCAGCTTTTTGCCCCACCACTATGGTTTTTTGAGGCTGTGGCTTTTTGCCCCCAAAGCCACAGCTTTTTAGCCTCGCCACCATGGCTTTTTGTGGCTTTTCTCCCCCGCCGCCGCGGCTTTTCGCCCCCGCCACTGAGGCTTTTTGCCGCGGCGGTGTTTGTTCCCGCCGCCGCTGCTTTTTGCCCCCCCGCCGCTGCCGTGGCTTTTTGCCCCCGCCACTACAGCTTTTCGCTGCTGCAGCTTTTTGTCCCTGAAGCCACGGCTTTTTGTCCTCACCGCTGCGGCATTTTGCACCCGCCACCAGGGCTATTTGCCCCCGCTTCCGTGACTTTTTGCCACCGCTGTTTTTTCCCCCGCCACTACGGGATTTTACCCCCACCGCCGCGGGTTTTTGCCGCCGTGGCTTTTTTTAACCGCCACTGCCGCAGCTTTTTGCCCCCTCTGCCGCAGTCTTTTGCCTCCGCCGCCGGGGCTTTTCGCCCCTGTCGCTGCAGCTTTTTTGCACCCTGCCACCACGGCTTTTTCCCCCAGCCGCCGCGGCTTTTTGTGTTTTTTTTGCCCCCGCTCCCGCTGCTTTTTGCCCCCGCCTCAGTGGCTTTTTACCCCCCTCAGTGTGGCTTTTTGTCCCCACCGCCGCGTCTTTCTCCAACTGCCGCCGTGGCTTTTTGCCCCTGCTGCCGCGCTTTTTTGCCGCCGTGGCTTTTTGTCCCCGCTGCCTTTGGAACCTTAATTTCACTTGAAATCTAATTTCCCACTGCCATGCAACCTAACATATTTGTATGTTAGACTCCGGGAATTAGGACATGAACATTTTTGTGAGTCCATTATTTTGTCTACAGCAGACATAATCTATTTACCTGCAGATTAAAGTGTTCTTTATTTTTCTGCCTCTCTTTCTTAATTTTTTTTAAATAATATGAATTGTACTAAAGAGAAAGAAAAAAGGAAGGAAGGAAAGAAGAAAGTAAAGGAGGAAATGAGAGAAGGGAGGGAGGAAGGGAGAAAGGCAGGAAAGGAGAAAAAAGAAAGCAAGAACTCAAGAAAGAAAGAAAAAGTGATGGAAGGAGGAAGGAAAGGAGGAAGAGAGAATGGTAACAGGGAGGAAGGCAAACAAAGAAAATAGAAGGGAGGAAGGAAGGAAAAAGGAAAGGAAGGGAGGCAGGAAGGAAAAAAGGGAGGGAGGAAGGGAGAAAAAAGGAAAGAAAGTGAGAAAGAATAAGAGAAAAGAAGGGAGGGAGAAAGCAAGGGAGGGAGGAGGGAAGGAAGAATAAGGGGAAGGAAAGAAGGAAGGAAGGAGAAAAAAGAAAGGAAAAGAAAGCGGAAAAGAAAGGAAGGAAGAAGGCAAGGGAAGAGAAGAGAAAGGAAGATGGAAAGAAGGAAGGAAGAAAGCAAATATTAGAAATTCTGGGTTTGTTAGAGAATATGCCATACTGTTTTTTTTTTCACTTGAAAGGAAAAAGTATCTGCCATTGAAGATTGGATGTCTTGTTGGTGATATTGTTTTTCTTATCTTCCATATGATTACTGAGTTTGTGCCTAGTCTGTCCATTACTAAAACAAAAGTGTTGAAGTCTGCAAATATAATTTTGGATTTTTCTAGTTTACCTTTGATTTCTTTCCTGTTTTACCTCATGTATTTGGAGGTTCTGTTGTTAGCTGCATATCCTAATTAGTAGGATGTTTACATCTTGAGAATTGATTATTATATTATTTATTATCTCTCATCTCATACTATTTCTTGTTCTGAACTCTGTTGTGTCTAATATCAATGTAGTCCTTCCACAGCTTTATTTTAGTGTTTCCATGATATGGCTTTCTCCATATCTTGATGATAACCTATTTATACCTCTATATATTTGGAGCAAGATATAAAATTTAGAGTTGATTTTTTAAAGATTTTTCAAGATGGAATTCTTATTTCTTTTTGTTCTATTTGACATTCTCTGAGTTTCCTATATCTGAAGTTTGATTTCCTGTCACTTCTTTTAGAATATTTTTGGCAGTTATTTTGAAATATATTTCTTTTGCTCCATTATTTTTTCCTCTTTTCTTTTTGGGATTTCAATTATAACTAAGGTAGGTAATTTCATCTCAGTCTTATGCAGGTACTTTTTCTCAGGGTCTCAGGAATGTAGCCTTCTCACACTTCTGTTCTTTTCCTGGCTGTGTTGGTGAGCTCAGTGATATTCCTCCTTCACCTTCAAGAGCAGTTTTGTTTTGTTTTTCCTGTTTTCATACTCCCAGCGTCAGGAGTATTCTAAGTGTGGCAGTTTTTGTTGCCTTCCCCTACATATTAAGTGGAATATCTTGGTCTATTTGGACTCTTATAACAAAATAACATAAACCGGGTGACTAAAAAACAACAGATATTTCTTTTTTCACACTTCTTGAGGCTGTAAGATCTCAGGTCAAGATGCTCAGAAATTCAGTGTTGATGAGAGCCAATTTCATGGTTCATAGATGGTGCCTTCTTTCTATGTCCTCACATAGTGGAAGGCACACAAGAACTCCATTGAGCTTCTTTTATAAAGACACTAATCCCATTCATAAGGGCTCAGCCCCCAAGACCTCATCACCTCCCAAGTGTTCTGCTCTCCCTGGTCTGTATCATATACAGACTCTCTTGGATTCCTTACCAATTGCTTGACAGATCATAGTGGGTTTGTGGGGAAAAAGATTCAAGATGATGGATCTTTCCCAACTTCTGCAGCTGTCAGCGGTCTCCCAATCTGACCAGCCCCACTTTGTCTTTAGGAATTTATTGATTATTCCAGCTTTACTTGTCATAATGGTGTCTATTTGCATCTGTCCTATGTAAGTGCATCTGTCCTTTTTCTCCTTGCAGTTGCAAGTACTCAGGAGTACACTGTTGTTACTAATTACTCAGTATTGGTTGGTACATTGTCAAAGATCAAAAAACATTTTTAAAGATAAAAAAAAATTCTTGGAAGTTGTGCAATGAAGGGTTAATTCTGCAGACATGGCTTTCCAAAACCTTGCACATTCCAAAGGTCTTCAGGACTGGCCCTTGACAAGCTCCTAGGAGATGATAACCTATGAGCCCTTGGTATATGCTGCCTGATGAGAGTCTTTGTATACCTGAAAATGTAGGTCTTATCAAATAGCTGATGCTAACAACGTGATTTCTTGTGAGCACCTGTTTCTATATGCCTATGACTTTGTGTAATGCTATATTAATATGACCTCTCTTAGGGCATAGGGAGGTTGGGAACTAAGTAGCTAAGTTCAGTCACAGGACGCTCGATGCATATGTGGTGGAATCCTAATAAAAACCCTGGACTCAAGACTGACTGAGCTTCCCTAGTTGGCAACAAGTTCACACAAGTTGTCTCACACCATTGTAAAGAAAATTAGTCAGTGTGAAGTCCCCACTATGAAAGGACACCTGTACGCTCACATCTGGTTTGTCCTGGACTCAACTTTATGTGCTTTTATGCTTCTGATTATTTTAATCTGGTTTCTTTCACGTTAGAAACTGTAACCACAAAAAAAAATCAGCTTTCTTGAGTTACGTGAATCATTAAACCAAAGGGGGACTTGGGGACCCCCAATAAAAAGTACATATATTCTTAAAAAGAAAAAGAAAACTGGCTATAGCAGATATTGCTGATGACGTGTCTTCTATGTCCTGGACTCAATGTGTTCACCTGAAATTCACCTGTTTCAAGCTAACTGAGAGCTCCCCACATCATGCCTTTCTTTCTGATTTTTGGGCCTGCCTGCAAGCTTCTTGAGGCTAACCAGTGCTTCTCAACCACACATAGGAACAAAGAAGCAGTTAGGGGTGGAGAGTTAATGATTCTAAGGCAATCCTTAAGCAATAGGAGATGGGGATTCCAGCATCCCCATCTCTTTGTAAAGTTATTTTAAGACAATCTCCATACCTCCATCATTACTGAGCACATAGCAGTAACTACTCATTCACACTGGCTTCGTGTTCTGTTTCATTTTCTCCACTTCTGTGCTTTCTCACTCAATTTCTGATTAAAGTATCTGACCCCAGATATTTGTTTCATAGTCTATTTTTGAGGGAATCCAGAGCCAAGACAATAACAATGGGGCTTTGCAATGAGGGAGGGTGAGTATAATCATCAGAAGGTTACCTACCTCACTGGGAACATGAAGGCCTGGAGAGCTTGCTGTTTCAATGAGAGAAACATGTTGAATTTCAGTTGAATACCTATATATATATATGTGCAATAAGACGTGCCCTTTACTTATATCAAAGGAAAGTGCTCTTTACCTCTCTTTGTTGTTGTGTTTTTATCACTATTGCCTACACAAGCAGAATATCATACCCAGGATTTAAAGCTCTCTCTGCAGGATTTTCAAGCTCATGTTTTTATCATAAGTCACTCTGCTTCCATGTGTTTTAAATCTAATCCTCATTCCTCTGCTTTTACACCAGAGAATTCATCACTGACTTATTTTTGACTGACCTCCTTATAGAGCTGTCAGGTACACAATTTCTGCTGTGATCTTTATCTTAGAGTTCAGTCATATAGCCTCTCACTAGATATCATTTCCTCTTATCTTTCCTAATAATGAATTGTCAGTTAAAACTCAATATTTTTAAGATTGAGCTTGCCATCTGCACACACACACACACACACCATTATTGTTGTATTCTCATAGCCTTGAAACACTAATGTCACGTTGATGTCTGCCTTTTCTTTCTCTGCTAACTCATTCCTCATTCTTAGATTATTCTAAAAGATTCAATTAGATCAAGTTGGCTAATTATATTTTTAAGATCCTCTCTACCCTTACCAACTTTTCGTTTAACAAAATTTAAAAATTTCTGGCAGGAGACTGTTGAAATCCCCATGGATGACTGTGGTTTTACTATTTTACCTTTCAGTTTTAATAGGTTTTATATTATGTATTTTGAGGTAATGTTATTGTGTGCATACATAATTCTTATTTACATGACTTCTTGGTGTATTTTCCCCTTTGTCATTTTGAAATGTTATTCTTCATCCCCAGTGATATTTCCTGTTCTGATGTCTACTTTGCTCGTCAAAGTTTTAGGGGGTTTTGGTTTGTTTGTTTTTCTATTTTTTGGTTCAAGTAAGTTTCTTACAAATCTGTTCGATTCCATTTGATGATTCCATTTGCTTCAATTCAAGGATTCCACTCGATTCCATTCGATGATGATTCCATTCGAGTCCATTTGATGATTCCATTCGATTCCATTCAATGATGATTCCATTAGAGTCCATTTGATGATTCAATTCGATTCCATTCGATTCCATTTGATGATGATTCCATCAGAGTCCATTCGAGGATTCCATTCGATTCCATACAATGATGTTTCCATTCGAGTCCATTCGATGATTCCATCCGATTCCATTCAATGATGACACAATTCGAGTCCCTTCATTGATTCCATTCAGTTCCATTGTATGATGACTGCGTTCGGTTCCATTCGATGATGATTCCAATGGATTCCATTCGATTTCTCAATTCAATTCAATTCCTTGCTGATTCCATTCAACTCCATTAGATGATGACTCCACTAGATTCAATTCGATGATGATTTTATTAGATTCCATTTGATGATGATCCAATTTGATTCTATTCAATGATGATTCTATTCGATTCCATTCAATAATTTCATTTGTTTCCATTCAAAGATTCCATTCGATTCCATTCAATGATGATTCCATTTGAGTCCATTCGATGATTCCATTCGATTCCATGTGATGATCATTCCATCGAGTCCATTCGATGATTCCATTTGATTCCGTTAGATGATGACTGCATTCGGTTCCATTCGATGATGATTCTAACGGACTCCATTCGATGACTCCATTCGATTCCATTCATTGATGATTCCATTCGACTCCATTTGATGATGATTCCATTCAATTCCATTCGATGATGATTCCATTCGATTCCATTCAATGATGATTCCATTGGATTGCATTAGATGACTCCATTGGATTACATTCGATGATGATTCTTTTCGGGTACATTCGATGATTCCATTCTAGTCCATTCGATGATGATTCCATTTGATTATTCCATTCAACTCCATTAGATGTTTTCTTTCGATTCCACTCAATGTTGATTCCATTTGAGTCCATTCGATGATTCCATTCGAGTGCATTCCATGATTTCATTTGATTCCATTTGATTATGATTCCATTCAATTCCATTCAATGATTCCATTTGATTTCATTCGATGATGATTGCATTAGATTCCATTCGATGATTCCATTGGAGTCCATTCAATGATTCCATTCGAGTCCATTAAAGGATTCCATTTGATTCCATTTGATGATGACTCCATGCGAGTCCATTCAATGATGATTCCATTTGATCCCACTCGATGATTCCGTTGGATTCCATTCTTTGTTTTATTTTGATTCGTTTTGATGATGATTCCATTCAGTTTCATTCAATGATCCCATTCGATTCTAATTGATGATGTTTCCATTCGATTCCATTTGAAGAAAATTCCATTTGATTCCATTGATGATGATTCCATTCGATTCTATTCGATGCCGATTGTATTCGATTCCATTCAATGATGATTCTATTCGATTCCATTTGATGATTAAATTCAATTCCATTCTAGGATGATTCCATTCGAGACCATTCGATGATTCCATTCAATTCCATACAATAATGATTCCATTCGAGTCCATTCAATGATTCCATTCAAGTCCACTTGATGATTCCATCTGATTCAATTCAATGAATCCATTCGATTCCATTCTATGATGATTCCATTCATTTCCATCTGATGATGATTCCATTCGACTCCATTCAATGATTCCATTCGATTCCATTTGATGATGATTTCAATCAATTTCATTCGATGATTCCATTCGAATCCATTCGATGATGAGTCCATCCAATTCAATTTCATGATAATTCCATTCGCTTCAATTCGATGGTGTTTCCATTCGAATCCATTCGATGTTGATTCCATTAGTTTCCATTGGATGATGATTCCATTCGAGTCCATTCGATGATGATCACATTGGATTTCATTCCATAATTCTATTCGATTCCATTTGATGATGATTCCATCTGATCCCATTTGATGATTCCATTCGATTCCATTCGATGACGATTCCATTCGTTTCCATCCGATGATGATTCCATTCAATTCCGTTCAATGATTATTCCATTCGAGTCCATTCGATGATTCCATTTGATTCCATTCGATGATGATTGCATTCGAATCCATGGATTATTCCATTCCATTCCATTAGATGATTCCATTCGAGTCCATTCGATGATTCTCTTCGATTCCATTCGATAATTCCGTTTGATTCCGTTAGATGTTGATTCCATTCGAGTCAATTCGATGATAATTCCATTCAATTCTATGCGATGATTCCATTCCATTCCATTTGAAGATGATTCCATTCGAGACCATTCGATGATTGCATTCAATTCATTCGATGACGATTCCATTCAATTCCGTTCAATGTTTCCATTAGATTCCATCTGATGATGATTCCATTCGATTCCATTTGATGATGATTCCATGCGATTCCATTAGATGATGACTCCTTTCATTTCCATTCGATGATGATTCCATTCGTTTCCATCTGATGATGATTCCATTCGATTCCGTTCAATGATTATTGCATTCGAGTCCATTGAATGATTCCATTCGATACCATTCGATGATGATTGCATTCGAGTCCATGGATTATTTGATTCCATTTTATTAGATGATTCCATTCGAGTCATTCAATGACTCTTCGAATCCATTCAATAATTCCGTTTGAATCCGTTTGATGTTGATTCCATTCGAGTCCATTCAATGATAATTCCATTCGATTCTATGCGATGACTCCATTCCTTTCCATTTGAAGATGATTCCATTCGAGACCATTCGATGATTGCATTCAATTCATTCGATGACGATTCGATTCAATTCCGTTCAATTATTCCATTAAATTCCATTCGATAATTCCAATCGAGCCCATTCGATGATTCTATTCGATTGCATTCGATAATTCCATTCGATTGCATTCGATAATTCCATTTGATTCCATTTGAGGATAATTCCATTTGAGTCCATTCGATGATTGTTCCATTCGATTCTATTCGGTGATTCCATTCGATTCCATTTCATAATGATACCATTCGAGACCATTCCATGATTCCATTCAATTCTATTCAATAATGATTCCATTCCAGTACATTCAATGATTCCATTCAAGTCCATTGGATGATTCCATCTGATTCCATTCAATGAATCCATTTGATTCCATTCTATGATGATACCATTCATTTCCATCTGATGATGATTCCATTCGATTCCATTCAATGATTCCATTTGATTCCATTTGATGATGATTTCAATCAATTTCATTCGATGATTTCATTGGAATCCATTCGATGATGAGTCCATCCATTTCAATTTCATGATAATTCCTTTCCTTTCAATTCGATGGTGTTTCCATTCGATTCCATTCGATGTTGATTCCATTAGTTTCCATTGGATGATGATTCCATT